>NC_000006.12:163707153-163858668 GCF_000001405.40 Homo sapiens | reverse complement strand
GATTTCACATGTGTTTTCTCATTTGATCCTGTCACCCATGACCACAAAGGTTTTCATAACCAGGACGATTTTATTGTCCTATTTCACAGAGAAGAAAACTGACTAATACAGAGGTCAGGTGACCTATCCAATGCCTCAAAGCTAACATATAATGGGAAAACTTAAATATCCCTCTTCCAATTCTAATCTTCCTTCAACAGCCCTGTTGCTACCTCCAACAAGTATTTCTGGGTCTTGATTTTAAACCAAAACTAAAACGTAGGTATTTTTGATTATTCCAATCTGGACCAAAGGTTGAGTTGACTTTCCCCTGTTCTGATGTACTAGTGGATTGCAAGGATTTGAGCAAGTAAACTAGGTGTTGAAACCAATCCTGTGAAGCTCATATACTTTCTACTCAACATCGTTAGTCCTTAAGAATATTGCCTAGGAAAGAGGCACAGCTTGTCCACTGGGGGCTGGCCATTCAGATTAACCACTTGTCCTTATTCCATATGCAGCTAACTTGAACGTGAGTAATTCTATGTGGTAATGAGAATTCAAAGCCTAAATGAAGTCCATCAATGCCTCTGTAACAAATTGAAATGGAAATTACTAACCTTGGTATAACTACAAAATAACATGGGGTAAATACCAACTGTTTGCCTTTTTTTTTTTTTTTTTAAGATGGAGTTTCACTCTTGTTGCCCAGGCTGGAGTGCAATGGCACGATCTCGACTCACTGCAACCTCTGTCTCACAGGTTCAAGCGTTTCTCCTGCCTCAGCATCCCGAGTAGCTGGAATTGCAGGTGCCTACCACCATGCCTGGCTAATTTTTGTATTTTTAGTAGAGACAGGGTTTCATCATGTTGGCCAGGCTGGTCTCGAATGCCTGACCTCAGGTGATCTGCCCACCTCAGCCTCCCAAAGTGCTGGGGTTACACGTGTGAGCCACTGCACCTGGCCTGTTTGCTTATTTTTTAAGTGGAAGTGTAAACCTCAGCTACAAAGAATCTCCTCAAGCATTCCTGCCTCAACAGCCTCACTGGAGTCCTGTAAGTTTCCCAATCAAAATAAGATAATAATGCCTGTGGATGTGCTTGGTAAATGATAGAGGTTCACAAAAATGTGAATGGCATTTACAACTTTCACCATATCAGTATTATAGTATCCTGCAGATAGAATAGAAAAGCTTAGCATAAGTATAGTATAAGGTAGTATATTCAATACCAGCAACTTCCCAGAGTAGTACTCAAGCTTCCAGTGTAAAAGAAATCTATAATGAAATCTAAGCCATCAATACATGGAGATGGAATGTCACCCCAATATAATATGGACAACAGCAGAGGTGTACATTATTTACAGCCCTTATCAGCCAAACCCTCCTAGTTCCTCCTAGCTCTGCACATCAGAGTTTGGCTGAGATGGGAAGAAAAACAGGGATTGGGTGTGGGGAAGAGGAGCTCAAGGCTAAGGAGCAATGAAGACCCTCATCTATGCATCCCCTGGGCCTTAATCCCCTTATTCTCATCCCCACAGCAACTGAACTCTGTATTTCAAAATGTGGCATTCTTCCTATTCATGTGACATTTATTTTCTCCTTGAAATACAAAACAGAAAATTTTAGTGATTTACCCAAACGCACAAGCAAACACAGCAAAGTTAAATGTATGAGATTTGTGTGGTTCTTCAAGACAATGTTGTAAAAAGCAGGCTCTAAATTTCCAGAAAATGTGGAGCCCTAGCCTAGTATTTTGGACTTTGTCTCTGAATATATGGGGGTATTTACTTCAATAAATGCACTTCTTTACAGGAGCGGTAATTGTGTTGTTGCTATCGTTAATAATAATAAATAAGAAAATATACCTAACACTAACCTCACAGACAAGAAAATTAAGGCCCAAGTTAGGCATATTCAGAACAGTCCATTCTAGATCAGAGCCTGGGGTCAGGTCCTCCAAGCACCTGCTGATCAGAGGTCCCAGTAAAATGTGGTCTTTCTTGAAGGAAATAATGATGGCAAGAGGACTGTCAGTTCCAATTTAATATTTTTATACATGTCCTACCTTGCACATTCTTTAAAAATGTATTTATATTCAATGTAGACATAAAAATCAATGTTTCAGCCCAGGGTCTATTCACACCTCAGTACAGTTTATAATGGAGAAGGCAGCAGTGAAATTAAAAATGTTAACTTCCAAACGGGGCTTTTTGTTGTTTTACGTTTGACATAACTGACCAAATGGGACACGTTCACTTTTAATGTGGCTTTATTTATTTTTCTTACACTATTTCTTTAGCACTTTTTCTTCTCACGTGACATATTAATACATAATTCAGAGCCTTTATGTCTCCCTGCACTGTCGGCGTGATTTCTTGTGCTATTGAACTGCTCTATTTATGACCAAATGGCCAAAATGTTTTTATTATTCATTTTGGGGAGGAATTTTTAAAAGCTACTGGTAATTTTAATACCCTTCAATACCAAATTGCTTTTCTGTGTTCCAACAACTTGTCTAAATTCTGGTCCTGGCCAGTAGTAATCTAGGAGGTCTGACCTGCCGGGGTTATCTGAACGCCCCCACACACGCTGTGTGGAGGGATGAGCTCTGTTATGGGAACAGAACCCCAATGTTCCTCGCTCCCGTGATCTGTGGGGCTTCCATTTCCAATTCTTCAAGGCCCTTTTCTTAGTTTTAGATACCTCAGCCCCTTAGCATACAATATAGGTTTTTGTTCCCCTGATTTTGTTGCTAACTTGCATTATTTGGGGGAGCAGTATTTCATTGCCTGGGCTGTCTACAAGGTCCTTTGCAGCCCAAGGAAGGCTGAAGGTGGGGGCTTAGCAACCTGCCTGCCATCCCCGGCTGCTGGGGGTGGTGAAGTTCCTTCAGTGGAAGGGTAAAATAGCATGGCATAATTATGGAGCATAGGGGCTGCAAGTGTCCTTGGAGATGATCAACATTTTTATCTCAGGTGAGAAAACTGAGAAATCATGTTACATGCAAAGGCCACAAAAAGAGCATTAGTCTTGAACCTGAGTCCCTCGCTTTCTAGAATGCACTCTTTCTACCCCGCCTCCAAGGAAGTTTCTCAAAGTCATGCACATATGTAAATGTCTGCGAGTTTGTGTCTGTGCTTTAAGTCTACCTGCCCAATCTGCCCTAGGGCCTTGGCCACCTGGCCTCAATTCACTATGTGCCTGAATAGAGATTCAAACCCGTGCAGATGGGCACATAAATCACCAGGCCTGACTAGCACCCAACTTCACTCTTCTGTCGACTCTTCTGACTGCTGTTTTCTTCTGCACCAAGCGTTCTACAATTAGAAAAAGTCCAAGAGAAGCATAAGGAAAGAGGAATGAAAGGATGCTAATGGAAACAGCAAAGAAGCTTTTCCTTCTCCATCTATTTTTTTTTTCCTGCCTTGGCTGATTAATTTTCTACATTGTATATTCTCACACCTTTCAACTGGAGTCAGGCAGTCTTCCTTGTCAAAAAGATCTGGGTGGAGCCAGTCTCAGCACAGCCCAGGGGGCATACAAGAGTGGATGTCAAAGTAGAAAATAATTAATTGGGTGACATATATGATAAGTGAGGCAAGTGTAAGCCCATGACAGCCAGGTTCCAGAGTGGCAAATTCTAAGACAGCTGTGTTCCTCCCAAATTCTAAGACAGCTGTGTTCCTCCCAAATTCTAAGACAGCTGTGTTCCTCCCTCCCTTCCTCTTTTCCCCCTCCTCCTTTTCTTCCTTCTTTCCTTTCTTCTTGCCTTCCTATTTTCTTCCTTTTTTCTCCCTTTCTTCTTTTCTTTCTTTTTCTTTTTTGTCTTTCTGCCTTCTTTCTTTTCTATTCTTACTTTTTTTTTTGGGAGAAAAGAGGCTACAGACAAACCTTTGTATCTCACCAATCTTTAAAAGAAAGGCACTATTCAACCACCATTCACTCATTATATATTCATTCAACAAATATTTATTGACACACTCTCTGCTTTCCTAGGCATTGAGACGGTCACCCAGACTGCAGAGATTAATGGAACCCAGCTTCTGCCCCCAAACTGGTGCATGAATTTTTTGCTCCCAGCTGTCTTAGACCAGCCTTGTTCTGCCAAAACTGAAATTGCAGATCTGGACTGGGACAAGCCAAACATGAAACTCACCTCCTCATCATGTTCAGCAGACCTTCTTGGTTAGAAGAGTGAAAACTGACAGGCAGAGAATTGCACACTCAGCTCTCAAGGTGTGGAGCAGCTCCACTGGCCTCCACTTCCATGAGGGTCCCAGGGGTGTTAAGGCTCAGGTTGCAGGACAGAAGGAACTAACTTGGACCTCTGTCTGCTAAGATAGTGCTGAGTAAAACCACATGAAATTATCCACCTCTTTCCAAAGTTTGGGCACTATCAATATGGATCAGACTTTTTAAAAAAAGCCACGATTTTCTAATAATAAAAACAACTAACAATTATTAAGCACTTACACTCTACAAGGCACTGTTTCAAGCATTTCTTATGTATTAACCATGTAAACGTCACATCAATTCTATGAATTAAATATTTGCTTACCCCTGTTACGGACTGAATTGGGTCTTCACAAAGTTCATATGAAGCCCTCACTCCCCATGTGACTATATTTAGAGATGGGGTCTTTAGGAAGGGCATGAAGGTTAACTGAGGTCATAGGGTGAAGCCCTAATTGAATAGGATTGGTGTCTTTACAGGAAGAGAAAGACCAGAGAGCAATCTCCCACACACTCACAGAACAGAGGTCATGTGAGAACACAACAAGAGGTGGCCATCTATCAGCCAAAAATAGAGGAATCGCCAACACCAACCCTCATATCATCTCGATCTGGGATTTCTAGCCTCCAAAACTGTCAGAAAATAAACTTTTGTTGTTTAAGCCACCCAGTTTCTGGTCAGGATGCCAGCATGGTTGGGTTCCAGTGAAGACTTCCTTCGTGGCTTGTAGAAGACACAGACTGCCTTCTCACTGTGTCCTCACATGGCAGGAAGAGAGAGACAGCTCTGGTCTCTCTTCCTCTTCCTATAGGGAGAGTATAATGCCATCATGGGGGACCCACCCTCATGACATCATCTAAACCTAATTACTCTCCAAAGGCCTCATCTCCTATTACCATCACATTGGGGGGATGGGCTTCAACAGATGATCTTGGGGTAGACACAATTCATTCAATTGCAAAAAATCCATATTTATTTTATTTTATTTACTTTTTTTAAATTATACTTTAAGTTCTAGGGTACATGTGTACAACGTGCAGGTTTGTTACATAGGTATACATGTGCCATGTTGGTGTGCTGCATCCATTAACTCGTCATTTACATTAGGTATTTCTCCTAATGCTATTCCTCCCCAATCCCCCCACCCCACGACAGGCCCCGGTGTGTGATGTTCCCCGCCCTGTGTCCAAGTGTTCTCATTGTTCAATTCCCACCTATGAGGGAGAACATGTGGTATTTGATTTTAAAATGGAGTTCTGTCACTTAAAATTTTCCAAACTCTGCTCTGTGACATATTCTTTTAATAATTAAGAAATTGTTAGTAATGTTAGTAAAATGGCAACATGGGAGGATCCAGCCCTTATGGCCCCACAGAAGCACTGGTTTCAGCAACCATCCATGGACAAGAATGCCTTCGGAAAGTCCCAGAATCTAGCTGAGAGGTTCCAGCACCCCAGTGGAACAAAAAATTTGAGGTAAGTGAATGCATTAAAAAGGGTAAGAAGAGTAGTTTCACTTTACCCCTATCACACTCAGCATGGCCTGGTGCTGAAAGAGACTTCCTCAGCCCACAATATCTCCCACAGTGGAAAATGAGAGCAAAGTGAGCAGCTGGCTTCCCAAGCCTTGCAGGATGCACCCAGCATGCTCATTTCTGTCTCCTCCACCCAGAACACTGAGGGGACTGGCATGGCTGAATCGTCTGGGGGCAGCTAGAAACAAGGTGGCAGGGAGCAGCATATAGCAACCGGTACATTTCTCAACAGCTGGCCACAGATCCTGTTAACCAGCTCATGGACTCCATAAAGTGGCAGTCCCCTGTGCACAGCACCCCATGTGCTCTGTGAACACCCCATGTAAGCTCCCACAGACAGCATGCTGGGTATCAACAGAGGTGTGGCTCTTAGCATCCAGCTCAAATCTGCTGGTTTAGGAGAAGGAACGCAGTTTTGTTCCCTGAAGAACACTTCAGGGTACTGCCCTAGAGAAAATAAATAGCAGACTCACAACTTTGTGAGGCCTGGCTTTATGGGAATGAGAAAAGGAACACAATCTCTTAAGATTCCCCCATAAGAATGAACAAGAAAAGTGGAATAGGCACACACATAGAAAAGCTTTAAAGACCCCCAGAATCACTATCTAGGCCCACTGGTGAAGATCTTTCTCTCATGAAGCCAGTCAGTAAAGACTGGAGAAGGTGACTGCTTCTTCAAATGCAAAGACAGCAGTATAAGTCTTCAGAGAATCAAGGAAACATATCACCACCAAGGGAGCAAAATAGAGCTCCAGTGGCTAACACTGAAGAAATGGATATCTGTGAAATTCCTGACAAATAATACAAAATCATCATTTTAAAGAAGCTCAGTGAGCTACAAAAGAACATATAGACAACTAACTGAATTCAGGAAAATAGTACATGACAGAAATTCTATAGCTAAAGAATATAGTGTCTGAACTAAAAAATGCAGTAAAGAATTTGAACAGCAGTCTCAATCAATCAGAAGAAAGATTCAATAAACTCAAAGACAGATCATTCAAAATTATCCGGTCAGAGAAACAAAAAGAAAATAAAAAAGAAAACCTATGGGATACATGGGACACAATTGACCAAACCAACATACACATTATGGGAGTTCCAGAAGGAGACAGGAGTAAGAAAAGCATAGAAGCTTATTTATAGAAATAATTGCAGAGAATTTCCCAAATATAGAAAATGAATGTCCAGATCCATGAAGCACAGAAAACTTCAAATAGGTTGAGCATGAAAGGTCTTCAGTTAGACACGCTATAATCAAATTGCCAAAAGTCAAATGCAGAAGGAATTTTGAAAGTAGCAAGAGAAAAACAAATTGGCACATATAAGGGAACCTCCATGAGACTATCCGTACATTTTCTCAGCAGAAACATTGCAGATTAGATGGATAATACAGTTGACCCTCAAACAACATGGGGGTTAGGAACACTAACCCCCTACACAGTCAAAAATTCATGTATAACTGTTGATTCCCCCAAAACTTAATTACTAGTAGCCTACTATTGACCTAAAGTGTTAACCAATGACATTACAGTTATTTAATCCATATTCTATAAGCTATATGCATTATATACTGTTTTCTTATGATAGAGTAAACTAGTGCAAAGAAAATGTTATTAAGAAAATCATAACAAAGAAAAAGTACATTTATTATTTATTAAGTAGAAGTGGATCATTATAAAAGTGTTCATCCTTGTCATCTTGATGCTGAGTATCCTGAGGAGGAGGAGGAAACAAAAAGGTTGGTCTTGCTGTCTCAGGGATGGAAGAGGTAGAAGGAAATCTGCATACAAGGGAACCCACATAGTTCAAACCTATGTTGTTCAAAGTCAACCAGTACATTCAAAGTGCTGAATGAAAAAACTACCAACCAAGAATACTATGTACAGAAAATCTGTCCTTCAAAAATGAAGGAGAGGCCATGCAAAGTGGCTCACACCTGTAATTCCAACACTTTGGGAGGCTAAGGCAGAATAATAGCTTCATCCCAGGAGTTTGAGACCAACCTGGGCAATATAGCAAGACCTCATCTCTACTAATTGTTTTTTAAGTTTGTCAGACATTGTGGTGCATGCCTATAGGCCCAGCTTCTTGGAAGGCTGAGATGGGAGAATTACTTGAGGCTGGAATGTTGAGGCTGCAGTGAGCCATGATAGTGCCACCGCACTCCACCCTGGATGACAGAGCAAGAATCTGCCTCAAAAAAAAAAAAATGGAGAAGAAATAAAGACCTTCTCAGAAAAACAAAAGCTGTAGGAGTTCACCACTAGGCCTACCTTGCAAAAAACACTAACAGGAGTTTTTCAAATTGAAACAAAAAGACACTAATTAGTAACATGAAAACATATGAAGGAACAAAACTCACTGATAAAGGTGAGTATATACACAAATTCAAAATATTCTAATACTATAATAGTGGTGTATAAATCACTTTTAGCAGTAGTATAAAAGTTATAAGACAAAGGTATTAAAATAACTATACCTACAATAATTTTTAACAGATACATAATATAAAAAGATGTAAATTGTGAAGGTAATAACATAAAATGTGTGAAAGGGAGGACTAAAACTGTAGAATTTCCATATGCAATTAAAATTAAATTAACTGTTTAAAATAGACTGGTATAGCTATAATGTTTCATGTTAAGCCTCATGTTAATGACATATCAAAAATCTATAATAGATACAGAAAAGATAAATCAAAGCATACTACTACAAAAATCTAGTCAAATCACAAAGGAAGAGAAGAAACAAAAGATATATAAAACCACTAGAAAATAATAAACAAAAATGGCACTAGTAAGTTCTTATCTATCAATATTACTTAAAATATAAATAGATTAAATTCTCAAATCAAATGATATAGAGAGATTAAGTGGATTTTTTTAAAGAGGCAACTATATGCTGCCTACAAAAGGCTCACTTTAGATTTAAAGACACCCATAAGCAGAAACTGAAAAGATGGAAAAAGATATTACATGCAAATTGTAACCCAAAGAGAACATAAGTGGGTATACTTATATCAAAAAAGAAAAACTTAAAGTCAAAATTGTCACACAAGACAAATAAATTCATAATATAATGATAAAGGGGCCAATTCATCAAAAGGATATAACAATTATAAACATATATGCACCCAACATTAGAACACCTAAATACATAAAGCAAATACTAACAGAACTGAATGAAGAAATACATAGCAATACAGTAACAGTAAGGAACTTTAGTATTCACTTTCAACAATGAATAGATAATCTAGACAGAAAATCAAATTAAGAAACAGCTTTTTAATAAGCAATGACTCAAACATCACTATAGACCAAATGGACCTTATAGACATATACAGAACATTCCCTCCAACAGCAACAGAATATACATTATTCTCAAACACACATGGAGCATTATCCAGAATAAATCACATGTTAAGCAACAAAACAAATCTTAACCAATTTAAGAATACTGAAATCATATCAGATTTCTTTACCACAATGGTATAAAAGTAGAAATCAATCACAGGAGAAAACTTGGAAAGTTTATAAATAGGTAGAAATTAAGCAATACATTCCCGAATAACCAATGAGTCAAAAAAAAGAAATTAAAAGGGAAATCAGAAAAGTATCTCGAAACAAACAAAAATGGAAACAAAATACCAAAACTTATAGGATGCAGCAAAAGCAGGTATAAAAAGGAAGTTTGTAGCAATAAATGCCTACATTAAGAAAAAAGAAAGATTTCAGAGAAACAATCAAATTTTACACCTGAAGGAACGAGAAAAAGAGAAACAAACTAAGCCCAAATTTAATAGAGGAAAATGATAAAGATCAGAGCATAAATAAGTAAAATAGAGACTAGAAAACCAACAGAAAAATCAACAAACTAAGAGCTGGCTTTTTGAGAATACAAAACTGGCAAATCTTTAGCTGGACTAAGAAAAAACAGAGAAGACTCAAATAAATAAAATCAGACATGAAAGAAGAGAGATTACAACTGATACCACAGAAGTACAAAGGATTTTAAGAGACTACTATGAACAATTATACAGCAACAAATTGAATAACTCAGAAGAAATGGATAAATTCCTAGAAATATACAACCTACCAAGACTAAACCATGAAGAAATAGAAAATCTGAACAAAAAAATAGTGAGTAAGGCGATTGAATCACTAATCAAAAGTCTCCCAACAAAGAAAAGTCCAGAACCAGATGGCTTCACTGGTAAATTCTACCAACATTTCAATAAGAATTAACACCAGTGCTTCTCAAATTCCCCCAAAAATTTGAAAAGGGAATACTTCCAAACTCATTCTACAAGGCCAGGATTACCCTGATGCAAAAGCCAGGCAAGGACACTGTAAGAAAAAAAGACCAATATCCCTTATGAACATAGATGCAAAAATCCTCAATAAAAGACTAGCAAACAGAATTCAACGGGACATTGAAAAGATCATCACCATGACCAAGGAGAGCCTATCTTTGAGACGCAAGGATGGTTCAACATATACAAATCAATAAATGTGATAGATCACACTAATAGAATGAGAGATAAAAATTATATAATCATCTCAATAGATGCAGAATAGCATTTAACAAAATTTAACATCCTCTCATAATAAAAAACTCTCAACAAATTAGGTATAGAATGAATATATCCCAACACAATAAAGGCCATGTATGACAAGCCCATAGGTAACATCATACTCAAGAATGAAAAGTTGAAAACTTTTTCTCTAAAATCAAGAACAAGACAATGATGCCCATTTTCACCACTTATATTCAACCTAGTACTAGAAGTCCCAGTACAAGAACAACTAGGTCAGAGACAGCAATGAAAGTCATTCAAGTCAGAAAGGAAGGAGTTACATTGTCTCTGTTTGCAGTCATAATCTTATACATAGAAAGGCCTGAAGACTCCACACACACACACACACACCACACACACACACACACACAAAACTGTTAAAACTAATAAATGACTCCAGTAAAGTTTCAGGATACAGAATCAACAGGCAAAATCAATTTTATTTCTATACACCAACAATGAACTATCAAATAAAGAAATTAAGAAAACAATTCCATTTAAAATAGCATTAAGAGGAATAAAATATTTGAGAATAAATTTAACCAAAGAGGTGAAAGATCCATACACTGAAAATGTAACACATTTATGAAAGAAAAGTATCCGCACATAACTAAAAAGGTATCCCATGTTTATGGAATGAAAGAATCAATGTTGTTAAAATATCCATACTATCTGAAGTGATCTACTAATTCAATGCAATCCCTATTTAAAATTCCAGTGACATTTTTCACAGAAGTAGAAAACACAATTCCAAGATTCACATGGAACCACAAAAGATCTCAAATAGCCAAGGCTATCTTGAGCATGACTAAGAAAGCTGGAGGAATTGTACTTACTGATTTTAAATTATATCACCAGGTAATCAAAGTAATATGACACTGACATAAAGACAGACACTTAGACCAATGGAACAAAATTGACAGCCCAGAAATAAATCCGTATATATATGGTCAATTAATTTTCAACAAGAGCTCCAAGAAGACACAATAGGCAAAGCATAGTCTTTTCAAATGGTGTTAGGAAAACTGGATAACCACATGCAAAAGAATAAAACTGCAACCTTATGTCATATACAAAAGTCAACTCAAAACAGATTAAAGCCTTCAACCTAAGAGCTGAAACCATAAAACTCCTAGGAGAAAATACAGAGGAAATAGCTCCTTAGCATTGGTCTTGGCAATAATTTTTCAGATATGACACTGAAAGCACAGACCAAGAAAAAGCTAAAATAAGTAAGTGGAACTACATCAAGCTAAGAAGCTTCTGCAGAACAAGGGAGACAATCAACAAAGCAAAAAGGTAGCCCACAAAATGGGAGAATATATCCGTGAACCATATATCTGATAAGGGTTAATATCCAAAACATACAAATAATTCATTAAAGTGAATGGCAAAAAGCCAAATAACCCAATTGAAAAAATGAGCAAAGGACCGTAAGAGACATTTCTCAAAAGAAGACATACAAATGGCCAACAGATATATGAAAAGATGCTCAATATCACTGATCATCAGTGAAATGCAAATTTAAACCACAATGAGACATTACCTCTCATCTGTTAGAATGGCTATTTAAAAAAAAAAAAGATAACAAGTGTTGCCAAGAATGTGGAGAAAAGGGAATGCTTGCACATAGCACATGGGAATGTAAACTGGAACAGCCATTATAAAAAACAATATGGAGGCTGTGCCTGTAGACCAATGGACTTAGTTGACCGTACATGTATGGATTTATTTCTGGGCTCTCAATTTTGTTCCATTGGTCTAAGTGTCTACAGGCACCACACTCATGCCTGTAATCCTGGATCACCTGAGGTCAGGAGTTCGAGACCAGCCTGACCAACATGGAGAAACCCCTTCTCTACTGAAAATACAAAAATTAGCCAGGCATGGTGGCACGTGCCTGTAATCCCAGCTACTTGGGAGGCTGAGGCAGGAGAATCGCTTGAACCCAGGAGGTGGAGGTTGCAGTGAGCCGAGATCATGCCACTGCACTCCAGCGTGGTCAACAAGAGCGAAACTTCATCTAAAAAAAAAAAAAAAAAAAAAAAAAACCAATGGAAGTTCCTTTAAAAATGAACAATAGAGCCACCATATGATCCAGCAATTCCACTTCTATGTATATATCGAAAGGAAATAAAACCATTATCTCTAAGAGATATCTACTCCCATGTTCATTGCAGCATTAATCACAATAGCCTATATGGAAGCAAACTAAATGTCTACAAACTAAGAATGGATAAAGGAAATGTGATATATACATATAATGAAATAATATTCAGCCTTATAAGAGAAGAAAATCCTTCCATTTCCTACAGCATGGATGGACCTTTAAGGCATTATATTAAGTAAACTAAGCCAGACACAGAAAGACAAATGCTATATAATCTCAATTACATGTGGAATCTAAAATAACTAACTCATAGAAGCAGAGAGTAGAAGGGTAATTAACAGAAGCTTCAGGAGCGGGAGGAAATGGGGAATGTATGGTTAAAGGGTACAAAGTTTTAGTGACGTAAGATGAATAAGCTCTGGTGATCTACTATGGTGCCTATAGCTAATAACACTGTATTGTATACTTAGAATTTCTTAAAAGGATAGATTTTATGTTAATTGTTCTTACAACAAAAAATAAACAACAGAAAAGCCTCAGAAAACAATAATCATAATAAAGGGAACAGGAGGAAAATTTGGGAGGTGATGGATGTTTATGGCCTTGATGGGTGATGGTTTCACAGGCGTGTATTCATCTTCAAACTCATAGAGATATAGATATTGAATATGTACAGTTTTCCATATGGCAATGAGACCTCAAAAAGGTGGTTTAAAAATTGTTTCTCTTTAGTTTTAAAATAGAATTGACAGATTGCTTGTCAACGTCTAGTTACATTTAGGTAAATGTTCACATCACAACTGAGGGAAAAGAAAACTTAGATTCCTATTTATTTTCTATAGAGGAGGTTCATTACAATAATGCATTAAAAAGTCTCTAATTAGGGTACCTTTGAACCTCACTAACTTTTGAACAGCATAAAACACAATTCAGGTAAGGAATTGTGAACTCACAGCTCTATATCTAAATGGCAGAGCTCCCTGGCTGAATGAACAGGTACTTCCACTCCTACTGTACATGTGACAACATACACACATATCAGGAGGGAACAACTTGTTAACCATGGAAAAAACGTTTTCTGTAAAGGCACATCGTAAGGAAATAAAATATAGATACACAAATATTCCTTCACAACCTCCCTAATATACCAAATGGAAACCTTTATTAAGCAAGATTTAATTTTTACAATTTGTTCTGAACTTACATGCATCTCTTTTCAGTACAGAACTAGGCAGCTATAACCAGAAGAGCAAAGGCTTTGCTGCAGGCCAAGGAGCTCAAGCCCCAGGCTCTCATGCGGCCTTCAGGATCTCCCCTATTGAGTCTGGTTATTCAGCACCTCCTACCCTTCTCACCTTCAAAGTCCAAGGGAAAAGGATCAATCACTAGCAGAATGATGAAATCTGAGATCTCCAGCAGCATTTTATGACATAAAGTAAAATGAAACATAGAGTGAAAAATAAAATAAAATTACAAATTCTAGCCATGATTGCATGCTTACAGAATAATGTTGCCTTTGACACCTCTTTAAGAGCTTGAAAACCCTGAGAATTTATAAAATTACAGCACCCCGGTTTGGTTTTGTACATAAAGCGTAGCCATTCAGAGACTCCTCTTCCCATCTCTACAGGGACAAAAACAATCCTCACTTAATTTTAAGGCTGCCAGCCAAGAGGGCTTCCCTATCTTTTGTCTCATTCAGTACTAAGTGTATAGCTCCGCCGAGAATAGGACGCAGCCCATGGAGTTAAAGCCAAAAGATTAATTCACTTACGCCTTTCAGTGTTTCAAAAATACAATTTCCATTTATTATGGAATTTATGTTGCATATCCAGTCACATACCTGCATTTCAGCTGTGTCTAACGTGGTCCCAGATAATGTGCCTCCATATGCACTGTGATGTTTTCCTCACTTCACTCCCACCCTACAAAACCTTAAGAACCCCTTGTTCCTTGATAATTAAGGTTTTGGAAACATCTCCATTAAAGGTACCCACTTCCCACGGCTTTATAACCATGGCATAAAACTTCACCTGGAATCAAAGGAAACAAGAACCATTTTCTACAAAGCATCGTTATTTTTTTTTTTTTTTTTTTTTTTTGAGATGGAGTTTCGCTCTTTCACCCGGGCTGTAGTGAAGTGGCGCGATATCCGCTCACTGCAAGCTCCGCCTCCCGGGTTCAAGGAATTCTCCTGCTTCAGCCTCCCGAGTAGCTGAGATTACAGGTGCACACCACCATCCCCACCTAATTTTTGTTTTTTTAGTAGAGAAGGGGTTTCACCATGTTGGTCAGGCTGGTCTCAAACTCCTGACCTCAGGTGAAGCACCGTGATTTTAAAACAGTGTGAAAGAATGTATCCAGTGGCTTGTATGCTGTGTATGACTGATTATACCAGCCCCACTCTGTAACTTGCTGATCAGGATCCAAGGCAGAAGAAATCCCTGTGGGTTTACTCTGAGAGAGATGATTTATGCAACTGGCTTAGTGGGAGCAGGTTATACTTTTCTGTGCCCTTCAGAAAAGGGGGGCAACATATGTGGAGGTTCCAAAGCAAGAAACAGATCAAACAGAACGCAGAAAACTTTCCTAACAGCTATATGAAAAAGAGCCTCAGTACCTGAAATAAGTCACCAAATAGACTTTATTCCAATTTAATCTCTGATTTTCTTGTGCCACGTAACCTAGACAGCTTGCTGGAGAACATAGCTTTCAAGCAAAATCCTGAAATGTAAATATGTATGAGGTGACAGACACAAAGAAAATGAGAGAGAATCACAACAGAAGCACAACCTCCTCAGTTAGGCAGTGCCATGGAAGCACATTCCTCACAACTGATTAAAATACACGCTTCTCTTCCAAGTGACTTGGTTCCTATTTTAGAGAAGGTCTTGAATAGCTGTCTGATATATAAAGCAAGACCAAAGAAGAGAAGGATGAACTCACACCCAAAAGATCCCGTGAAAACTCAGTATCTACACACAAGGTCATTGCAGAAAACCACACACAGCCTTTTCCCTTTTCATTAATTTAAACGGCTGCTATAGTCCTTTTCCACACGTGAAAAGTCAGGGGCATCCTTCCATCCAGAGAACTCAGCATTCCAACTCTCTCATCAAGTTAAATCAGTGTCATAGTGGCATTTAGTCTCTTGGCTCCAAAAGTTGATATATTTAAGTGTAGGGTACTTTCTGGGCAAGCATGTGCAGGAAACGATATAATAAAGGGTGGAGCAAATGAATCCAGTTAGTAAACATTTTGAAAACCCACACTGCACAGAACACCATTTCCAGCTCTAAGAGAGGGAGGGAGGGCGGGAAAAGGGTAAAGGGAGGAAAGGAGGCAGAGAAAGAGAAAGAAGACAATGAACAAAAGGAAAAAGAGAAAAATCCCTGAAATAGGCTGAAACTATGATAAAGTCTCAATAAGTGGAATTTACAAGAAAGTATAGAAGAGAATTAGTAGATAGAAAGATATCCCTAGCCATTCTGTGAAAACTTACCTTGTGAGGAACTGAAATAATGAAAACAAGATTGGAGGTAACCAAGGATGTCAGCCACAGCTGGCAACCAAAGGGAGTCACTAATCAAGCTGTTTCATGTTCTCAGGTGGTGAGAATGACCAGCTCCCAATCATTAATGCTAACTGTTGCTGTGTGGAGCTTGAAGTCTCTTCAGTTTTTCCTTTGCTGAGAACTTTCTGGTCACTTTAAAGTTCTCAATACCTCTTTTGGTGGGCAAAAGTAGCAAGAGAAAAAAAGAAAACCCATTTTCTTGCTGGCAAATAGCCCTCACTTAATGTTTGGTTAGAAACAAATGGGAGACATGAACCAACAACACTAATGCGGGGGGTGGATGTAGGCTGACTGTGCACAGGCTCACTGGTGGCCCAGCCAGTGGCATTTGTGAAGGGAGCACCCGCTGCACTGAACATGAGGGGAGTTGGATACCGGCCAAACAGCCATCACACCAGCCAGGATCATCACACCAGCCAGAGTCTGATCAAACAGGCCAGAATCATCACACCTGCCAGAATCATAACACTAGCCAGGGTCATCACACCTGCCAGGCTCATCACACCAGCCAGAGTCATCAAACCTGCCAGAGTCATCACACCTGCCAGGGTCATCAGACCAGCCAGGGTCATCACACCAGCCAGGGTTCTCACACCAGTTGGGGTAATTACACCAGCCAGAGTCATCAAACAGGCCGGAATCATCACACTTGCCAGAATCATAAATAACACTAGCCAGGGTCATCACACCTGCCAGGGTCATCACACCAGCCAGAGTCATCACACCTGTTAGAGTCATCACACCAGCCAGGGTCGTCACACCTGCCAGAGTCATCACAACAGCTGGGATAATTACACCAGCCAGAGTCATCACACCAGCTGGGGTCATCACACCCTCCAGGGTCATCACACCTGCTAGAGTCATCATGCCTGCCAGAATCATCATACCAGCTGGGGTCATCACACCCTCCAGGGTCATCGCATGTGCTAGAGTCATCACACGTGCCAGCCTGCCAGAGTCATCACACCATCTGGGGTCATTACACCAGCCAGAGTTATCGCTGGGGTCATTACATCAGCCAGAGTCATCACACCAGCTGGGCTCCTTACACCAGCCAGAGTCATCTCACCAGCTGGGGTCATTACACCAGCCAGAGTCACCATACCAGCTGGGGTCATTATGCCAGCCAGAGTCATCACACTAGATGGGGTCATCACACCCTCCAGGGTCATCATACCTGCCAGAGTTATCATACCAGCTAGAGTCATCACACCAGCCAGAGGGCAACAGGAGTGGCTCAGGGAAGGGAAGATGATTCATCAGGCACAGGCCAAAAGGAATGAAAATAAAAATAAGTAAATAAGGAAGAGCTGGAGGGATGTGAAGATGGCATATTATTTTTATTGTAAGTGACATCAGTGAAGGCAGGTATTTCAGGGTAGCCAACTTGGCTCAGGACCGAGAGTTTTCCTGGACTTTCAGTGCTAAAACTATCCTTCTAGACTAACCAGAACAAGCAGCACCCTAGGTGTTAAACAGAAAACCTAGAAGGAAAATGTGTACCTTTGAATTTTTCAATTTGCTCTTGGGTTTGTGAAACATTAACCTCTTACAGCTGCCTAATGTTTTTTAGGTCTAGGCTTAATTCTCCTGACAACAGTACCACCTACATAGCAGAATGCATGAAGAGTTCACTCTGGATACAAAGTAAACAACATGGAAAGAACAGAATTAAGGACAGACTAAGGACGGCTTGTCTGGATTGGGGGAAAATCTACATTTTATATTTTTGAGATAAGCAAATGTATTATTTTCTGATACTTCAAAGATGCCAACGTTGACAACTCAGATTTGATTTCTTTTTAGAGAAGGGGTCATGCAACATTGCCCAAGCTAGAGTGCAGTGGCTATTCACAGGCATACTCCCACTACTGATCAGCACAGATGTTTCCACCTGCTTCATTTCCAACCTGGGCTGGCTCTCCTCCTTCTTAGGCAACCTGGTGGTCCCCCACTCCCGAGAAGTCACTATATTGATGCTGAACTTAGTGTGGACACCCAATCAGCATAGCTCCCAGAACTCCTGGTCTCACGCCATCCTCCTGCCTTAGCCTCCCAAACAGCTGGGACTACAGGTGTGTGCCACTACACCCAGCAAATTTCTGAAGTGAACTGCTTCAGTGAATAGATTAAAATGATATGTTATTGGCAATTCTATTGTTTTTAAGTAAATGTATCCTAAAATACTTGGGGGAGATTGAAAACAGTTTGGCTGAATCTTTAGTCACAGAGGATAACTTCTCTTTATAAGGTGTTTCTGCTCATCAGCAGAGGATGGAAGTCATGCAAGAGAGGACTGAAGAAAAGGCCTTGTGCAAAAGACCATGATTGATGTCAAAGCGATGCCCCAAGGAACGAACCCATTATACCTGGGCATCCAGGACCCTTCTGCTTTTTCACTATGGGATAGCATGAAAGTGACTTCAAGACATTGAGGCTGCCAAGGCTACCCTATGCTCTAAAAGTAGATTACAGTGGATGCTGGAGACACACAATTGCAATAAACCCAAAGATGTGTGGCATGGTGATGGCTTGGAGAAGAATATGGTCTTGCTCAGGTGTGAAACATTTTTTCAAATGAAATAATTCAACCAATGAACAACGTTATAAGTCTGGACTAGCTCCAAGTCATTGGATGCCCAGCAAGGTCATCAGTCTTAATAGCCCTTTTTGAGGGTTGGTTTTTCCAAAGAAAGCCCCAGCTTCAGACTGAGTTCCCCCAATGCATCTAGAAGTCGTCCCGACCCTGCCAAGCCCTACCCAACACCAGACTCAGATACACACTCAGGCTGTGGAGAGGCACCTCTGTGTTTATTTCTTGTATTAGAAACTGAGTCATCTTCTGCGTTGAAGAGCTTTATTGTAGGCATCAAGAAATAGATCTTCCCTGTTTAAAACCTAAAAGTAGATAGACAATAAATAAGATCTGACGCTATTAAAATTTTTAAAAAGGAAAATGGACAGGGCCATCTTGAATAATCTGTGCTCACATTGATGCATAATGAGGTACTGTGAACTCATGGCCAAACCCCCTTTCCATTTGCCTTCTGGTCAAGGCCCAAACTGCAACTGGGGGCTAAAAGAAAACAGTGTCTGAAGAACCGGTCTTGTGAAATGAAACCTCTAAGGTGACCACATGCCAAGGGTTTGTTGTCCAGCAACAAGGGTTGTGGACCACAACAAGGGTGGTGGACCAGTAACCATGAGTCATGGCATTGCTGGAGAGCTTGTTAGACATGCAGACCCTCAGGCCCCCAACCAGATGCACTAAACTAGACCTCGTCTGCTGCTGGTTTGCAAGCACGTTCAGGTTGAAGCAGCACTGGACGGGAAAGTAGATTGATCGCAGGACTATGGGTCATGATTTACTCTGTAGCATATTTGCTTAATTCAAATCTTAAGGGCAGGAAATAATTTTATTTGATCCAGGGATGTCAAAGGTAAAACAAAAAGGCAGGGTCCATTCTTATTGGTGCTGCTGAAACCCAAGCTAAGTAATCACTGCTTAATTCTAAAAGCAACAATAAATACAACATTTGACAATGCCTTTTTCTTGGCAAAGCACTTTTAAGGTACATTATCCGTATTGACTGGTGACCACACCACTATTAGAAAATGACACACAATTACTATTTTAATCTTTATCAGTTACTGGATTTTCTGTCTCCAATCAACATTGTTTCTTAGTTCCCCAAACTGGGTCCTTATCCTAAATGTCTTCCCAGTCCTCTGTTGTTCATTCAGCCTGGTCTTCCCTAAATAAGAGAGTGCCCCAACACTTCAGAGGAAGATAAACTACAAATTCTTCGGACCATATTTATTTACATTTCTTGTCATTTAGACAGTGCAAATTCAAACATCTATTTGCCTTTGTGACATTTAACTTTGAGAAGAAATGATTTCGACAAAGAAAAAATATATATTGTCCATAGTCCTGATGATTTTTTTTCTCCCATTAAGAAGAGTTACTTTCAGCAGTTCATCGTAACTCTGTCTTCCAACTGTGAGTATCATATTATTGTCCTTGCCTTTTCTGTAAATGGCAGAATTCAGTGGGCAATTTTCCTGAATGAAAATAAGCAAAATTTCTGTAGGATTTATATCTTTCTCTTGTATCTATTTATATACTCATGTATATAGTTTAGTGCTTCCTTTAGAAAAAAAAAAAAGGCTGAAGAGCAGACAAGCCTACCGTAAATATCTATTTCAGCTGAAGTATAAGGCTGGGATATTCTGTCATTTTCTCCACTGCATGGAGGCTACATTAGTCTTTCTGAAAAAATAAAGAGGGGGAGCTCCACATATTCGAGACAAATTTTGCTGTACTCTGAATGATATGTGTGCTTTTTATGTTTATGAAACCACCATCCAGCAAAAAACAGCAGCCTAATATTTTGACATGAAGGTCATTTGAAAGTTTTACTGCCTGCAAGCGTGATCCATTTTGTTGACAAAAAGCTCTCTAGGGCTCACTAAGACGCCCCAGCCGGCTCAACTTTCTCAGAGTCTGGCATTTCTGCCCCCTCCCTTTTCACCTCCTCCCACCAGACTAATTATCAGCTCATTAAGGCTGTCCTAATGAATTATGTTACAGCGTTAGGAAAGGGTTTGGGCCAAATGTCGATGTCAGTGCAGGGGGATGGGAAAGGGAGAGGGAGCAGGGGGTCACAGACGCTGGCGTGACCTCACTGGGCTCCCTGCACGCGCCAGAAACCATAAAGATTTCAGCTGCATTGAAGTTCACACTGCTACAACCATGCTCTTAGCGGGAGCTGGCTTCCTCACGTTCCTCAGCTTCACAGACACGTTCTCCTGATAGTGAGGGTTGCACACGCATGTCTGGTCGGGTATCAGAGCATGATTGGACAGGGCAGAAAGGGACTCGGCATTCTGCGGAGGACCCAGGCTGGCCAAAGCTGGAAGGATGTGGATTTTCTGTAGAGGCAGCCAAACTCCAACAGAGGAGGTGGGGGGAGGTCTCCATGCATTCTGTCTCTGTCTCTTTAAAAAACCCACACGTATAATTGTGTTCCTACTACTTGCTTATTTTATTCTTTTTGGTGTTCCAGCCAACAAAATAAGAATATCACTCTTTTTCTTCAACCTTAAGGACATAGAAATCATTGCTGCCCTGAGAACAAAGATGGCCTTTTACGCTTCGCTGGTCCCTGGCATAGCATTAACCATAACAAAATGATACAGACAGCAGCTCCGAACTAAATCAGATCCCACAACTGAGTCAAAAAACGGCTTTGCCGAAGAGCAAAGTGCAGCAACACATTTAAAATGGCAGATGTATTTTAAAGGGCTTGGTTTTTGTTTTTCTCCTGCATTCAGGGTTGTGTCAGTGATATCGAACAGAAGGGTATTATTTTCTTATTTCAATAACAGCCCACATCTCAAGCCTTCCATTTACCAAGTCTCAAGAAAAGGCACACCAACCTTATAAAATCACATGACAAGCATCTGACTCTGACAGTTGTTTTGTTCTTTTTTTTTTTTTTTTTTTTGGCTTATAATTATACTGATGTTGTTTTTCTTTATATAGCCTCCCAAAGCAGCATCCAGCTGAGCTACTGAGCAACCACACACAGGGGCCACTTCAGCCTCTAATGAGAGACAATCTCCCTGGAGTTGGAAATACAGAGCTAATTCATTAACATATTTGGCAAAGAATCCTCTGTAGCTAAACAGATAATAGAGATGATGAATATCATTCCGTCTATGGACTTCTAAAACCATTAGGGGTGGGGGTGGTTAAATGATGCTTTTTCTGAGACAACACCATGGCAAAAATTCACATTAGGGAAAAATTGGTTAATTTCACCAGAAATGTCCCTCTTAATGGATTCATTGCCTCTAAGCTAATGTAAGTCTATACAGAACTCTGAGCGGACATTTCCATGCAGATCCCTAAATCTTTTAAGCATTATAGGTAATTTTAATCATGGCTCTAAAGCAGCAGCCATGGTCACCTCGGAAGGGAAGAGCCTTCGAAGATTAAGGGCTGTCAACTACAAGACATGTCATTCAAAAGCCCTCAGCCTCCTCCATTCACCTGATAGGCTCCAGCAGAGATTTTCTATTGTGCACATTTCTTCAATCTTTCTATTTCTCTTTTTTAATAGCCAACACAATTTAAGAACTTATAGACTGATGATACTTTAAATGTGAGGAAGGGCCGGGTGCAGTAGCTCACACCTGTAATCCCAGCACTTTGGGAGGCTGAGGCAGGCAGATCACCTGAGGTCAGGAGGTCGAGACCAGCCTGGTCAATATGGTGAAATCCTGTCTCTACTAAAAATACAAAAATTAGCCAGGTGTAGTGGCACACACCTGTAATTCCAGCCACTCGGGAGGCTGAGGCAGGAGAATTGCTTGAACCCAGGAGGCAGAGGTTGCAGTGAGCAGAGATCGCACCACTGCACTCCAGCCTGGGCACAGAGCGAGACTCCGTCTCAAAAAAAGAAAAAAGAAAAAAGAATTGTGGGGAGGGAAGTATGTAAATGTTGGGCCAAAAGAGGCCAGGGAACATAAAAATAGACCAGCGTGCGCATTAATCTCTTTAGCCATACATTAGTTCATTCATGTGGTGTTGGAAGAACTTCTGTCCCTCAAAATATCCAGATGATAAGACGACATCCAATCACGTGCTTAAACAAGTTTTAGTGTTGTTCTCCCCAAGCAACTGGACTTGATAAAATGCCTTAGCTACACTAACACACTACTGCATGCCAGGCGCCAGGCAAAGGGGTCATTCGCTTCATTCCCACATCTGCCTAGACATACGAGCATCCTTATCACTTTACCGATGGGGAAACTGAGGCCTAGGAAGGCTGAGTCACTGCCGGAGATTACAAAGGTCAGTGGCAGTGGCAAGTTTTAAATGATGACCCCCGGTGCTAGAGCCCCCACCATTTTATGTTTGTATTTATTTTATTGTGGTGAGAACAGTTATGAGACGCATTCTCAATGTTGTACAGCAGAGCTCTTGAGCTTATTCATCCTGCTGGACTGAAACTTTACACCTCCTGATTACTCACTCCCAGTTCCCCCTTCTCCAATCCTGGAAACCCCCATTCCACTCTGATTCTATGAATTTGACTATTTTCGATCCCTTGTATTAAGTGGGATCATGCAGGACTTGTCTTTCTGTGACTTATTTTACTTCATGTAATATCCTCAAGGTTCATCCAAACTACCGCATGTTGCAGAATTTCCTTCTTTTTTGAGGCTGAATAATATTCCACTGTGTATGTGGATAGCACCATTTCTTTATTCATTGTTGATGGACACTTTGTTTGTTTCTACATCTTGTCCACGTGAATAGTGTTACAGTGAATGTGGGAGTGCTAGTATCTCTTCAAGACCCTGATTTCAATTCTTTCGTATAAATACCCAGAAGTGGGATTGCTGGATCATGTGCTAATTCTATCTTTAATTTTTTGCGGAACCTCCACACTGTTTTCCATAATGGCTGACATTTCCACCAACAGTGCAGCAAGGGACCCAGTTTCTCCCCATCCTCTCCCACATTTGTCTTTTGCTTGTTTGATGTCCCGGCAGGTGTAAGCTGATGTCTCGTCGTCTGGGGCTGCACTGCCTCCGATCAGACCAGGTATTCCCCGGACGTGTGGTCCAGCCCTGTGACGGCTTATCCGCCAGACTCCGAGTATTACCAGGACGAGGAGGAAGGTTGCGCTTCTGTGCTGTTCCAAGCAGCGGGCGAGGCCATGGCTGCAGGTGCAGGGCTAGCGAAAGGCTGGAGTTTGTCAAGAAAAATCCAAGCCACGGCCTAGCAGGGAGGGTCGGGCCCGGGTGCTGGGAGCCCGTGAGTACCTGGAGCCGCCCCGCCCCGCCCCGTAGGGCAGGAGAGCTGCGCCAGGAGAGCGACTTGCTCCATGCAGCCGCGGGGTCTTTCCTGTCCTGCGGGTCCCTCCTGGCCACTCCTGGCACGGGCTTTGGTGGCTGGGGAGAGGGTGTGGGTTTTGCTGGGGGTTGGTTTTTCCGTCTGGAGCGTCTGAGCCGAGAAGGAGCCGTCGCGCTTTCCTGGCCTGGAGAGGGGCCCAGACGGGCTCCAGAGCCACGCGGCCGGCGCCCCTCTGCCAGGCCATGGGTGGCCTCCCGGGGACTGGGTTCAGATGCCCATGAGGCCGCCGGTGCCGCCCACACGAGCCCGCACAGGGCCGGAGGCCATGCCTCCCACTCTCCTTGGCGTACCGCCCCGCCTTTTCTCCGTCCTTTCCAGTGCCCCAGCAGCGAGGCAGCCACATGCACGGCTCCTGTGGAGGGGAGGGGCCCTGGAGTGAGGCTGGGGGCGGGGGCAGAGGACGCCTACAGGCCCAGGAGCCCTGCTGAGAAGGCCGGACCAAAGCCCAGGAGTGTCGGATGCATCCTTGCTGGATGCTAAGGCTCAGAGAGATGCTCCAGGCGAATTAACCAGTTCTCTCTCTCCACCTGGCAGAAAAGCTCTGCTGTGCAAGGAGCTACCTTTCAAGTCCCTGCGAAAAGATCTGAAAGGATATGAGGAGGGAATGAGTGGTCACGAATGCCAGCCGCAGGACCAGCCCTAATACCAGCCCTAATAAACAACCCAAGGCCGACCCTCAACCCCTCTTCCACCGGTGGCCTGGAAAGGGTCCATCAGCATCACCCCTGTCATTGGCCAAAGACCTTGATGCTTACATAAATGCAAACACCCCATGAAGGGAATACATGTCAAGGCATCACAAGTTCTACAGCAGTAACTTGGGTGTTCTTTTTTTAATTTTAAATTTTGTTTTGTCCTTTTGAGTATTTTGCTTATAGCAGAGTCAATGTGGAGTCATCCCCGAATCACTTTGTGGAAATGGATGCCCGCGTATTGAATAAGCATTCAGAGCATTTTCTTTGCTGGTTTGTATTGACTCCCCAACGTGACATATTTTCTAGTGACATGAGAGCCTCCAAGGGGAAAAATGATAATATGCACTATTATTTTGCTCTTAATAGCTACTGGTAAATAATAGAACATTAGCTCTATTCTGGTCCGTTGTGCTTAAAATTGTTGCTTTGAAGCCAAAACAGAAGTTAGACATCAGAAAAACAACTTCAGAAGACTAGTATTTTAAGAGTAGTTCACTCTAAAACAAAAAATGACAGAGCAGAGCACCAAGGAAATCAGAATGTAAAGAGTTCCAGCTGTTTTTTGTTTTTTGTTTTTTTGTTTTTTTGTTTTGACAAGGTCTCGCTGTCACCCAGGCTAGAGTACAGTGGCACAACCATGATGGTACACTGCAGCCTTAAACTCCTGGGCTCAAGATCTTCCTGCCTTGGCTTCCCAAGGAGCTGGAACTACAGGTGTGCACCATCACATCCAGCTTTTTTCTTTTTTTGTAGAGACAGGGTCGCGCTATGCTACCCAGACTAGTCTCAATCTCCTGGCCTCAAGAGATCCTCCCATCTTGGCTTCCCAAAGTGTTGGGATATCAGGTGTGAGCCACTGCACCCAGCCAGTTCCAACACGGGCTAGGCAGAATAATGTCTTCCCAGAGATGTTCGCCTCTTGATCCCCAACCTGTGAATATGTGAGGCTACCTGGGAAAGAGGAATTAGGCTGCAGATGAAATTAAGTTTGCTAATCCGCTGACCTTAAAATAGGGAAATTGTCCTGGATGGTCCAGGTGGCCACTGTAATCACAGGGTCCACAGAAATGGAAGAACGAGGCATATGAGTAGGTTGGAAAGATGAGCTGTGATGTGAGAAGGGCTCAACCTGCCATTGCTGGTTTTGGAGATGGAGAAAAAGTCCACGAGCCACAGAGAGCAGGCAGCCTCTAGAAGCTGGAAAAGGTAAGGGGACAAATTTTCCCATAGAGCCTCCAGAAGAAACCCGCTGCACTGACACCTTGATTTTAGCCCAGGGACACCCATGCTGGATTTCTAACCACAGGACTGTAAGATGGTGCATTTGTTTGTGGTAATTTATTATAGCATCAGTAGGAAACTAATGCAGGAGGAGAAGAAGAATGAGAAGATCTACTATTTATTGAGCACTTCATGTGCCAAACCCTAGGTTAAGCTGGGCTAAGTGATGTACTTGCTTACCTCACCCATTACACTCAGGGGCCTCCCATGAGATGGGCACTAGCATTACTCCCACTGGATGAGGCAACTGAAGCCTGGCAAGCTTAAAAGGTCTGATTTCAAAGCCCCAGCTCCTATCCACTTATCCATGAGCTCCCTCCATGCTTCTGTTGAGTAAAGAATACAAAAATTAATGCCTTTGTGGAATGATGGTACACTAACCAGAACTATCCATCATTGTTCAGAGATTTAAATTTTATAAGTGAAATCAAAAGCCTGATGAGCACATCTCTGAGTTACTGGAAAATTATGTCAATGGCTCAACCACGCAATATTGGAGGCTTCCTAGATGCCTATGTGGAATTACGTTGCATGCAGTGTTCACAGTGAATTTCTCCAACACTGCTTTCTGACTGAACCAAATTTGACATTCTTAATGGCCCAAGAAAAGCCTCTCCCTAATGATATCAATGATGTCACAGAAATCAAAGGTGACAATTGTAATAGAAATGCTGTCTGTAGCGTGAAAGCAGCTGACTCCTTCCCACAGAGTCGCTAGAGCACAAGAAGTCAAGGATGCAAGACCCAGCAGAAGCTGTGGAGGGTTATGCCCATGAAGCTTGACCCCTCAGGGCTAAGATGGCAGATTCTGCAGGAGAAAGCATCTTTTTAAGAATGTAGAGTCTTCAAATCCTTCAGAAAAAAATTCCAAGTACATGACATTAGGATTCTTTAATGAGAACAAAGCATGAGTGATATTCTACAGTGTCAGAGACAGTCAGATGTCTGACAAAGATGTGTGCTCCCCTTCCACAGTGTAGCAGTGTTGCAAGGAAGTGAGTGCCTGGGCAAGGACCACATTGTCCAGCTCCTCTTGCATCTAGATGGGGCCATGATACCCGTTCTTAAGAGCTGGAAGCAGATGTAATGTGTGGTTTCCGTGGGCTGAATTAAGAGGCTAATGTATCTTCACCAACCCGTTTTATTCCCCCTTCACTGTGAACATGGAAGCCGCATGGAAAAGATAATGGAGCCATAACAGGAAAGGAGCTTGGATCCCTGAGTCACTACGTGGAAGTCTGTCTACTGAACAAGCTTCCTGGACTATTCCATAAGCAATAAATTCAACTGTATTAACTGTAATTTCAGGGCTTATCTGTTACAGCTAGTAGCCTTATCATAATTAACACATACATTTAGAAGGTCATGAGGAGCCACTTCATGCCTTTTGGGATTTGGCCGCAATTCTCATAAGTACCTGGGAGAGAAAGTTGGAAGTTATTTCCATGTGTGGTGCGTAGCAATAAAGAATCCTTTACAATAGTTTCTCACAAGGCCTTTTGCCAGAGTTATTAAGGTCACCAATCTTTAAAGCTCAAAGTTCTGTCTGTTGGCCTGGAATTGATTCTGATATAGAAAAGACTGTAAAGGCACATATTATTTGCCTCATCCTAAGAATCAATCGATATTGATTTTGCAAGACCTTTTCAGGGGAAGACATCTTGCTCAGAGATGATACCATCTAAAAACAGCTCAAAATGCTTCTAATTCCCAACTCAGAAATATGCCACAAAAAGCAGCTGTGCTGGTATTATTTGCAACATATAGATCGGGAAAAAATAATAATGCTTCAATGGGTCTTCATATCTATACATCCGCTGAGCTTTAGAAGGTTCTGCAGGGTAGAGAGGGGAGAATATCTCAGGCATTCTCATTGCACCAAAACACCCTCAGGCAAGTAGTTAGGTTTAAAAGATTATGCAGTCCATCAAGGATACCCTGAAGCACCTTGTTGAAGGGAATTGAGCCCAGCTTGGCCTTTAAAAGGCTACCATGTCTGAACTAGCGAGACTCAGCCCTGCAGCAACTGGAAGCCTTGTTTCCAAGTAAATGCCCCCTATTGCAGGAAGAAAGGCTGACCCTTTTCACCTTAGGAGGAACGTTTTCACCTTGTCTCTGAGTGGCTGAGGTCAAATCAGAGAGGAAACTGACTCAGACTCAGCAGATCTTGGTTCTGTTGCTGCTTCCACTGAGCACTGAACAGCTTTGTCCCAGCTGTACTAAGGTCTTAGCCCGGAGGTGTCCGAGTCCTCTCTTATCCCATGCAGGATGACGAGGGAGTTGGGAAGCACTCCCACAAGGGCCTCCATAACCATCCAGCCCCTCAACCCAGCTCCACACTTTCCAAGGGTGCTGCTTTCTTAACCCCATCTCCATTCATTCCTTGGACGCTGGCAACTGCAGATACTTTACTATGAGGTTTCTGTTGCTATATTACCATCAGGTTGATCATATGAAATTGCCATTTTTATAGATCAAAACTAGGCAAATATGTGCAATTTTGTGAGACTTGACTTAATAGAAGATATTTACAAGGCAAATAAAATACCAGCATTATAATAGCTACAGCTCCTTGAGTTCCTCCTCTGTCACAGGCACCGCACGATGTGCTATCCACGCAGTCTCCACCACGGAGTGGCCACAGCCACTCTCCTTCACTAAATGCCCTGCCTCCCTCCTCAGAAGTAAACATCCATACACAAAGGTACATCACAAATCTTGAAAAGGATGCACAGTGTATCTGGTATATTTTATAATACAAATCATTCTCTTTAAAAACTATTAAATTCTCCCTGTAAAAAAGAGATAGAAAATCCAGATGAGTAAAATGTAATCTTGACGTATCCAAGAAATGGTGCAATTTCAGATAATGCCATATTTAAGACACTGACCCTGCTGGACACTCAACCAGTTTCCTGGTTGTTCTTTTGCAAAACCAGAGTCCAATTTCTTATTACCGGGATGAACTGTTACCAGCACCCAACACAATTCCTGGCAGGATCACAATCCTGGTGAACAGGAATAGATTACAATTATTCTCTTTGACATAAAATATTAAAGTTCATAACTTTTAAATGTATGCCTTGCCTAACATGTAACTATTAAAAATGTGTTGCACTCTCATCCTTGCTTCAGTAAAGAACATTTTTCTTATTCAAGCTCCATTTGCACTGTTTCGATGTCATTTTATGCATTTTTTTTAATCCTTTAAATTCTAGCAGTAAACATCATCAGTAAAGAATCTCAGAAAACCAGACAAGAAAATGAAGGTATTCGCTCTAGGCAGAGTGTACTGGGGCAAAACCATTGGCCCATATCAACAACCCTAAATACTATCAGTATTTCCCACTCCAGCTTCTCCATCTAGCGTTGTGCAGATTTGAATTCTTACATCTGTAAAATTAAGGGGAAAAACCTTTTATCTTCCTCATCAGTAATTTGTAAGTTTTAAAAGTGAATGATCCATCATACTTTGAAAAGAGCTTTACTCTTTAAGGAAAACGAGTTTAATTATTCTTTTTAATAGCAATCATCTACTGATCTGTCTGCATTTAGGGTTGACAGCTGAAGAATGAAAGAGGGGTGTCCCTTGCATTTCCGTCGGTGGCTTCTTTAATCGCACTGCTGGCTGTCATGTCCCATGGAAGCCCTCCACAGTCTGGCTGCAAGCTGTGCCCTGTGAAACCTGAACAAGCCGCCACAACCCTCCTTCTTCCTTCAATTAAAGATCCTGCCTGGGAATTGTCTCAGGTGGTTTAAGGATACAAACTTTATTCTTTTTATCACGTGTGGTTATTGACCAGACATCACCATCATCCCAGTACAGTACTAGCTATTGATTAAAGGCCCACAGGGATTGCCTGGGGCCCTGCAAACAAGTGTCAGCCTAGAACAAGGTAGATCTATGAGACATGCCCTCAGCTTCAGGGACTGTGCCCTCACTGTTGGAGGAAGCAAGAGAAAGGGGGAAAGTAAGTATTATTCAGATTTAGTCACAATCAATTGTTATCACTGGGTGGAAAAGAACAAAAAGGCAAGAATCTATTAAAGTCTCCTTACTCAAAGGAAACTTGTAATTAGTATTTGGTGTGTCGGTTTTTATAATGAGACTGCAGTAGTCTGATAATGCCACTCCAGCCCACTGTGAGAGCACTTTCCATTTTAAATCCCTGCTTTAAGGAGCTTAACGCCAGTCATCAGTGAAATCATCTGGACCGGGCTTAAACTCTGAATTTCATAGAGATAGGCATCACCACCGAGGGAATATGCTTCTTTAAAAAAACAAAAAGCTGCCTCTCTCTATTTGGTCCCTGCAGGACTGTGTCTTCAGTCCACCCTTCCCCAGCCCTCCCGCTCCCTCCCGTTCCATGCACCATGGGAGATGCCACCATCTCCAAGAGCCCATTTCTCACAGGGCTTTCCCTGCAGCTTCCCTGCTCTGTCGCAGGGACCACAGAAGTAGCTGTGACTCAGCCCTTCCCTCAGCCAGGGACTTGCCAGGCCTCACACTTGGAGGACAGAATCTTCCACTGGGAAGCGTGTGGGAGGCCCAGCCCCACTGGGCAGTGACACGGAGCTCGCTGGCTTGGCAGGTCCACGGCGGCAGGACCTCTGCTCTGATGACTGGCGTGCACCGCACTGCACAAGTGCCTTTGCAGCCCATCACAATTTTGCATCCAAGGATTATCTCAGTGTTAAATAGAGCATCACACAGGCCGTGGGAAGCCACTGAGAAGAAGCTAAGCATGTAATACAATAAAGAAATACTTTGTAGTCCGACCTGCCACATACTAGCTTGGCGATCTTGAAAAGGGGATTGAAAAATTGTGAGCTTTGTTTAAACTGGGAAAACATAATACCTATCCATCAGGCTCGACTACTTATAAGCTATATGATTTGGCCAAATTATTACCTTTATTAAACCCCCATTTTCCTACCTAGAAGATTAGGTTAATAATAACAACACTTACCTCACACAGCTGTGATGTGAGTTAACTGAGAAAATTCATGTAAAAATCTTAGCATAACACTTGAAAGACAGTGGGCATTTATTAAACGTTAGCCAATATTAATCATTATTCATCCATTCCTCTATTCACTTAACAAAGGTATGAGAATTAAATGAAAAAAGATATACAGAATGCCTAGCTAAATATCTAACACACAGTAGGTACTTGACAATTAATTTCATTTCCTCCTTCCCCTTCACAAATGGGAAAACTAAGACACAGAGACACTGAAGTCCTATCATATTTAATGTTGCTGCTAAGATCTCTGGATCAGGCAAGTCTGCAAGAAGAAATGGAAAGAGAGACAGGGAGGGAGAGAAATCTGAGCATCTCATATCTGCTTTAATTGATTTACTTCAGGTCAGACGCCAGGAGCAGTGCCATAGGTGGAAGTCCATTTAGCTGACTTGGAAAGCTCTGCTCTTGACCTCTGAGAACTGAGAGGTCTGTGAACTCATCTGAGTTGCTAAGGCTGTGGCCAGAAAGGAAAATTTCTCAGCTGCTTTTTCATACCATCGAAATGAATTAATTTTCTAAATGGAAAATTGAAGTAATTAGGTTGTAGACTGAGTGACATTTACTAAGGTGAAAAGCAGGGAAATTTTTATATCCTTTATTAAACAGTTATTAGGTATATTAAGCAATATAGAGTAATTACTTTTATTCCCCCAAATGTGATTATTCTTTTCATGCCAAGACAAGCTCAAACTCACAAGGATCCAACAGACCGTGACTATGCAGAAAAGCACCAGGTTGTATCATTACCGCTCTTCCTGGGACCTCCGTGGTGGACTGGGCAGGTGGAGAGAGTGGCCGCCACTCAAGTGGAGCAGCATAGGAATGTGGTTCTCCAGATGGCGTTCCGCTTTCTACATGCACCATGGACACACCCTTGCATGTATGCTTCATTTTACCCAATCAGCCTGTCCAACAAGGAAACTGACTCATTGATTCAAATTATTTTGAATAGCACCTACTACATGCTGGACACTGCTCTGAGGTCTCCGAGCCTACAGCAGTGAGAATAGCAGAGCAGCTTCTCACCTTCATGAGATTTGCATTCTAGAGGAAGAAAACAGACAACGAATGAAATACATAAAATACATTAGTATGTTCAAAGATCATTGCTATCGAGAAAAGGGAAATTTACTGACAGGTGCTGTTTTAATGAACCTCTAGGGGAGGTGAGGGATTTAGCCAAGCAGCTTACTGGGAAGAGCATTTTAGGCAAAAGAATCAGCATGTACAAAAGCCCTAAGATGGCCCGGAACATGGCCAGGGGGCCCAGGACCACCAAGAAGCAGGGACCGGAGAGTGACTGAATAGGGGTGGGTGGTCGGAGGAGGAACTGAGAGATGGGGAAAGGCAGTCACTGTAAGGACTTTGGTTTTTATTCTGAGCAGGGAAGTTCCCACTAACAAAACACACAGATGCCCCTGAAAACGGAATAGAAGTGGTTTTGGGAAACTCTCATTCCTCTGATGAGGATTGCCCCCATCTCCATCTCTCAGGTGATGAAATGACACATTTGTTTTAATCATAGAGTTGCCCACTGATCTGCATCGTTCCAGATGCAGATGTTTTAAAAAAACAAAAAGCTGCCTCTCTCTATTTGGTCCCTGCAGGACTGTGTCTTCAGTCCACCCTTCCCCAGCCCTCCCGCTCCCTCCTGTTCCATGCACCATGGGAGATGCCACCATCTCCAAGAGCCCATTTCTCACAGGCCTAGGAAAGGCAAGGAGGAAACAGAAATAGCACCTGACACAAGGATGAGATCCATTTTTAGAATATTGATTATGAGCCCCAAAAGAAACTCCTGTGCCTGCCGATACAAAGCTGTAATTTCACCAGGTCACTGCATCTCTCCAAGCCTTGATTTTTATATTTGAAAAATGAGTGACTGTGAAGATCACATGAGCTGGTGCATTTAAAACATTTGACATTAACTCAGGACTCAATAAATGGCAGCTATTTTTATTTAAAGAATGACTTCTTATTTCCAAACACAATTCCTACCTCCAATTCTGTGTTCTTGAGCTTTCTTGGTCTCTGAAAAAGGATACTTGGCTCCTGCCTCAATACCCATGTACCCACCTCCTACCGCATCCCCATCTTCTATTTGATGCCACTGTCTTCCTCAAAGCTTTCCCTCCACTCCCTTAAATCAGGGGTTCTCCCCAAGGAAGAACTGGTGCCCCAGGGGACATTTAGTAATATCTAGAAATATTCATGGTTGTGATAACTGGAGTCATGTAATAAATGGCTCTTAGTGGGTAGAGGCCAGGGATGCTGCTATATGTCCTACAGTGCACAGGGCAGCCCCATACAGAGAATTATCTGGCCTCAAATGGCAATCAGGCTGCAGCTGAGAAACCCTGCGCTGACAACCATAAGCAAGGCATCACCCTTTCTTTCACATTGTAAGTCCTTAATACACCTGCTTCTTCCTGATTGACTAACTGTGTGGTTCACCATTTCCCCAACAGCTCTGGCACAATTCCCAACACATGGTGGTTATAGTCAATGAGTAAGCGAGAGTTTGCCAAAACAGAATTGTATGGGAGCGACTTTATCACGTAACTCCTTCTGAAACCTGCTGACCAAAATGCCAGAGATTTGGGTTCCCATTGAGAAATTCCATATCGGCCCGGTGCGGTGGCTCACGCCTGTAATTCCAGCACTTTGGGAGGATCACCTGAGGTCGGGAATTCAAGACCAGCCTGACCAACATGGAGAAACCTCGTCTCTACTAAAAATACAAAATTAGCCGGGTGTGGTGGCACGTGCCTGTAATCCCAGCTACTCGGGAGGCTGAGGCAGGAGAACTGCTTGAACCCGGGAGGTGGAGGTTGCAGTGAGCTGAGATCACGCCATTGCACTCCAGCCTGGGCAACAAGAGCAAAACTCTTGTCTCAAAAAAAAAAAAAGGGAAAGAAAAAGAAAATTTCCATATCAAGTTTCTTCAATTTCCATATACAGTTTGAGACCCTTGCACTCTAAATGGATAAAATAAGACCAAATTAATTAGTACAATCTCTGTAATTGTTTTCCGACACAACAGTAAGGCCTTAGTAGAGAAGAAAAACATGACGTATTTTAATTTAAAACACGTTATGAGGCACAAAATGCTACCAAAGATGGCCGCCCTGTTGGCGTGGAGATGGTTGTCCGGGACCCTGCTCCCCTGAGGCGCACCACAGTAAGGCTTTACAGAGCACAAGCTCCTCTTCACAAGAGGAAGGCTGGTCCATGCAGCATCTTTGTCCATGTTGGGCAGATGCAGGAACAAGGGCGTGGAGCCAACGTTAACCACCGCTTTCCCGGTGGCTGGTGTCTCTTTGCAGTGCTTGCAAGTCACAACCATTTGTGCTGCACCTGCCCTTTTCTTTTCAGCTTATGCAAAATTATCAAGACCCTCTTACTCTAGAGAAATGTACCATTACTGCACAAATAAGGCATGCAGAAGAACTGGAAACTAAGGAGCCTCATGAGACAGAAACTCAGAATCAATATGTAATGGGTAGAGCCAGCTATCTGAAAAGAAGCCAACCCTAGAAAGTGATTTGTGAGTGAGCGTGTGAGGAGACACTGGAGAATCCAAACCCACACAACACAGCGAGGGCTTCATTTCAAGGGAATATGTTTGAATACAAAAGAAAGTGGTAACCTAAGCCACCTTCTTGTCAGTTCACTTTGCTATAACAGTGTACAATAGACTGGGTGGTTTAAACAACAGAAATGTATTTCTCACAGTTCTGGAAGCTGGGAAGTCCAAGATCAAGGTGCCTGTCAATTTGGTTTCTGAGGAGGGCCCTCTGCCTGGTTTGCAACCTTCTCACTGTCTCCCCACGTGGCAGAGAGAGGAAGGGTGCTGGTCTCTCCCTTTTCTTATAAGGGCACTAATTCCATCATGTGCTCCACCCTCGTGACCCCATCTAAACTTAACCACCTCCCAAAGGCCCCACCTCCTAACTCCATCCCAGGGGGATTAAAGCTTCAACATATAAGTTGGGGTGTGGGGGATGAAAGACAAACATCCGGTCCACGGCAGCTACTGATTCTTGACAGATAATAGACCTTATGTTCACAGAAGATCGTGTTCTCATGAGGTCTAGAGAGAGGGAAGTAGTCACTGTCAACCTCTCCCACCACCTTCTAGAAGTTTCTGTCCCTTGGCTTTCTCCTGCTTAGCTGCCTCTGTCCAGCTCTGTCTCAGGCCCCTTCACTCACTCTTCCCCTCTCTAAGCCTCAGTTTCCTCATCTGTCACATGGAAGACAGCAGCATCTGCCTCACTATATATGGTCACTGTGAGCGGTTGGCAAATGGGAGGCCCTGATGGATGTTAACTTCCCTTCTCTATGTTTGGAAGTTTACTTTCATCTCTGCCCAAGTACTACTGCCATTTTCCTAGTGTGGTTAATCTTAAGTGTTAGAAAAAAGCCGTTTGGTTGAATGAATTTATATCAACATGTTCCTGATTAATAAATTATTGATCCTTCAAAAGGCATTTGTCATTTTTAGGGTCCATGTTAACCAAAAAGATTAAACAACTGGTAGGCTTGTGAACTTCAGACAGTATGACACAACGAAATGAAAAAAGTTCAGGCTAATATTGACGAGGAATCAGCCTTTGACATCAGCTGCCCAAGATCGTTCCATTTCTCAGCCTCACCTTCCACCCGAGACCAAAGATTCTCTATGAGTTTTGCATGGAACTGCCTGGTGTTGTCAGTGACTTTGTCTATTTTAGCCCAGTTCTCTACAGGCCACACCACACTTCCTCCCTGCCACTCTTCTCCAGGCAGGTACACTAGTATGAAAACAAAGAACTGAGCACCCTGCCCTATACTGTCCCTCTGCACTCCACCCCGCATACACCATTATTTGTCTTGAAGTGACCTGGGGCAGTGTACGTGGTTCTACACATTCGTGCACATTGGGTTGGCAAAGAGGTAGCAGAAGCAACAGCCACCTGGAGCATCTGAAGGACCTGGAGTTAATTCGATTTCTATCAAATGGCTCAGAAAACTATGTTTGTCAGCCACCACGCCAACCGCAAAAGCCCAGAATTATCCCTCAGTTCCGTGGCCTGAGTCATATCTTGTGATAATGAATTTGGATGAACTCCTTAATCAGACAGATCTGGGTTTGAATCTCAGCTCTATCATTTAATACCTTTGCACTTTCAGAGAAGTTATTTATTCCTTTGAAGCTTAAATATCTTGCTCAGTAAAATGGGTTGAGAATGGTATCTTCCTCCCTGGAAGGGTAAGCTGAGATCTCAGGTGGGTGATAGCTGAGCCCAGCACCCATTGCCTTTGAAAGTGCTGGAAACCTGTGAGCTGGCACCATTGTTGTTGGTGCTATTACCACCTCCCGGGAAGCAAGACTTCCAGTCCTGCTCAAGCTCCCCGGCACCCTTGCTTGGGCCATGCTAGAACTGGGTGCATGGTGCTCCTCGGATACTCATGCACCCATCCTGCAGAGGCAGCTGCCCTGCAGTGGGTTGCTCTTTGAAGGACGTACTTTTTAAATATTCTCATGCACTAGCCTGCTCGTCTCCTCTAGTTCAATGGTTTTCCTAAAAGAGATGAAAGGAGTGAACTAGATGTTACTGAAGCAGTGGAAATTCGAAAACGGTGAATGGGTGGCAGAGAGGCAAAATTTTTATCTAGTTCCAGTGATTTTTAAGATTTGCCAGTCATTGCCCACCAACATCTCAGAATCACAGAAGCCCCCAGCCACTTCCCCCCCATCTCTGCCTTCCCATGTTCCAGCTGTCACTCCCACCCACGGCATGGGGCAAACCCCTGCCACTAAGCCCCAGAAACGCTGAGGCTCCTCTCTGCTTCTAAAAAAATATGCTGAAAGTGAAAAAGCAGACGGCATTAAGAAGTAAAAAAATCAATCCTACAACTTGTTTAAGCAAAGTAAGTTCCATAGGAAGCCCTAAAATAATGACTGTCAAGGGAAGTGCTGTTATGGTTGGCATATTCATTGGTAGCAGACAAAATTATGTTGTTTGAAACTTGCCAATCCAGTAGTGCAGAGAAAGTTGGGGGATGAGGATCCTATTTCTAATCTACTGCCTTCTTTAAAGAAGGCACTTAGGATCAGCTGCCCTGAGGGGAATTGGAGACTTGTAAGGTAAAAAAGCCAGTTCTGGCAACAAGGTTAAAGTTCTAGTAAAGTCGAAGTGCCCGGATTACTATGGTAAAGACTTTTTTGGGGTAGGAGTTGTCCATGATGTCATGTTTCATACTGAGGTTTCAGGGAAGCACTGGGCAAGGCCAGCCATCTCCTCTCCCTCCCTCAACTGCCCAGCTGTCTATTATACCAGCCCCTGAGAGCCCTGAGGAGCAAAACCACCCCCAGGAGGCACCGTTCCCTGCAGGACATGCCAGCTGAGCTTCTGCCCACAGGCTTTCCCTTCTGAGCCCCTTCAAGCGAGGGGAGGAAGCTGGGCTGAGTGTCAGGCCTTGTCATTTTAGACAGCGTGCAGATGCCCTGCGGTGATGTCACCAGCCACCCGAGCTCAGAGATGTCAGATACCCGCAGCCCAATTCATCATGAAGCTGGAAATATGACAGTCCTGGGAGAAACACTGACAGACAGGCAGAGCCCATGTGGCTTTGTCAAATTAAGAAAAATAAAGGCTGGAAGACTGTTTCCATAGATATGCTAATGAATTTTGATTTGGGAAGAAAGAGGAACCCTGATTTTAGATGGAATTGCTACCAAATGTTCTCAGATCTAGTGCACAGCACATTCCCGACTACAACACGTCACCCCAATTGGGAGTCTATGGAGCTCCGATAGCAAGGGCAGAATAGCTTGCTTGAAAGCAGGAACTACACAAGAGGGTATTTCATGAAGCATTTTTGTTAGCCCTAAAATACTGTGCAATTCTAGGAGGGTAAAAATGGGTTCAATGTGGCAAATGTCTATAGATCACCAGCCTCAGTGTGCTGCCATGCACGGTGCCATGGAAGAAACAACGGTAAGAAACACATAACTCGTGGCATGAAGACTCTTAAATTCTAAGGAATAATTAGACAAAGACAAAGACGCTACAAAATAGGGAGCAAAATGTCCGTGTCAGTGAGAAGCCCCAGGTGCTGTAGAGATTCAAAGAAGAGAGAGATCCGGTCAGGTGCATGGGGATGAGGGAGGGTTTTAGCAAGGGCCTTGCAGGACAGAAGTTTAGAAATTATCTCGAAAAACAGAATTAGTGAACAGATAGGTGAATTCCAGCCTTAGGGAACCACATAAAGCCATAAAGACACAACCATGAAAGTGCAGGTATGAGGGGAATTCGTCCACCCATTCATTAGCGAATTCCGCAGTTACCAAGGACCCGGTACGTGCCCGGCACGTCTCCAGGCGGCAGAGGCAGAGCGGTGAATGACACAGACTGCCAGAGCGCCAAGCATCAGGCCAGAAACGCATCCGTGGGAGGTATCGTGGAGCACGGCAGTCCAGTAGGAGATGGGATGGAGTGTGGCTGCGCGGCTACTGAATAAAGGGTCAGGTGTGTGCTCAGTGAGTCACACTCAGGCTGAGGGCTAGATGATGGAGCCCACTCGGGAGGAATGAGTCCCGGTGGAGGGAGGAGCCAGCCCACAGCCGAGGTGGGAATGATTGCCTGTCTGCAGGCCAGTGTGGCTGGAATAGCGGAGGGGAGAGAAGGGGCTCAACGTGAGGACCAGGGAGCTACTGAACTGTGCCCGCCAGGGGACAAGGTTGGGTTTTATCGTAGGCGAGTTGGGACACCTATAGAGATTCTAAGCAAGAGGTGATAGGATCTGATCCATGTCTTGGAAAGACGGTGTTGGGTGCTGAGTGTGAAGGACCAGGATGGAAGCAGGGACTCCTGCGGAGAAGCCTTTTCCACGGGCTGGGGCAAGACACCATAATGGTGTGCACAGGTGAGGCTATGGTGGGCACGCTTGAGGATGCTCCCAGGGTTCAAAACGGCAGCTCCTACTTGTGTTCTTGAAATAAACCCGGAAGAAGAAAAGAGAATGGCAAGATTTTTGCCTTAAGCAACTGCTGGACCTAGTTTGTGAGATGAATATGGCTGTGTGAGGGCAAATTTATGAAGGAAATTCTACTTTGGCCAAATTAAGTTTGAGATTACCATAAGGATTCACAGTAAGACATCAAGAAGGAATACACACACACACACACACACACACATACACATTGTTGACAAAGAAAAAAATGGAAAAAAAAGGCAGTAGTTGAAAGAGGAGGTGGGGTAAGCTTTTTTGTTTTTTATGTTTTTATTTTTGAGATGGAGTTTCACTCCTGTTGCCCAGGCAGGAGTGCAATGGTGCAATCTCGGTTCACTGCAACCTCTACCTCCCGGGTTCAAGTGATACTCCTGACTCAACCTCCTGAGCATCTGGGACTACAGGTGCGCACCACCATGCCCACCTAGTTTTTTATTTTTATTTTTAGTAGAGATGGGGTTTCACCATGTTGGCCAGGCTGGTCTCAAACTCCTGAGCACAGGTTATCCACCCACCTTGGCCTCTCAAATTGCTGGAACTACAGGCATGAGCCACCACGCCTGGCCAGCTTTTTTATCTTAAAATCAAAACTATTAGAACGTTTTTATACATTTCTCTCCATCCAAATACAGTGGATAAAACAGAAATGTATATCACAATTCATAACCATTTCTGATAGAAAAAGGAGAAAGAATAATTATAAGAAAACCAAGAAACTCAAATTAAAACAATAATGAGATAATCTTTTCACCCAACAGAGTGAAAAAAATTAAAATGTCAGTAATACCCATTGCTCATGCAGATGTGGGGAAATGAGCACTTTCATGCACTTTTGACAGAAGCATAAATTAGCCCAATATTTTTTGGAGTCAGTTTGGAGACAGCTGTTGAAGCAATTAGATAGACAATTCCATTTGAAATTTATTCTGCAAAAATAGGCACAATAACCAGTCAAAATGAATGTATATGCATGTTCATTGCCTCATCTTTTGTAAGACAGTAATGAAGTAAATCATTTTACATCTACATAAAGAAATACTCTTTAAACATACTGACATAGAAAAATGCCTGTATTTTAAATGGAAAAAAGCAAATGGATGATATAGTGGATGCATAAGATTCTAATTTTATTATACATATTTACATTTGCCTGCGCCTATGTAAGATTTTACAGAGGGGAGAAGGGATTGGAAAGGTGCACATCTATTAACTGCAGCTGTCTTTGGGTGGTGAGAAGGAGAGGGGAGTCTTCCTTTTCACTTTGTATATTTCAGTGTGGTTAACATTTGTATAATGAGAAACGTCAATTTTAAAGATTAACAATAGCAACTGAAGATAAATATTAGAAATCTGCACAGGACAGAACAAAAATAGTAGAACACAGAGCACTACACATGAGCATTCTCAGTGCTGGTGGGGTGCGGAGAAACAGCCACCGCCATGCACTGATGTGGGAAGTTAACCCAGGAAATTTGGGAGAACAACCTTGGAAATACTGTGTTAATGTCTCTGAAGTGTATATGCCCTTAGCTGCACTAAAGACACTTCTAGGAACCTGTGCTCACGGTCCAATCAAAGATGTACAGAAGAGCATCCTCACTGCCACATTTTCATTGTGGCAATGAGCATCCTTTTCTGCAAATCTTTGGACTCTGAATATAGGTTCCTAGAAGTGTATTTAGTGCAGGAAAATGAGGATGCTCATTTTCACTATTACTTATAATAGTGAAAATTTTCAAGAAACATATCATTTAATATTAGATCAATGGTTTTATAACTCACATTTAAATAGACCATGGCATGTCAGGCGGCATCAATATCATGTTTCTGGAGATTACTGAATAACATGGGACATGTTTACAATATGTGCTAAGCATAAAATCAAGATGCAAATTTCTTCACATTGCATAATCCCTGTTTTACTCACAAATAAATGTATATTCATCCATTAAAAGTAACATTTGAAGAAACTCATCTAAAAATTGACAGTGATTACCTCTTCATAGCAAAATTAGAATTTAATTTATTCTTTTTATAATTCTATTTTTTCCTAAATGTTCTTCAGTGGGTATGCCTTTGTTTTATAATCAGAATATCTGAATGGGAAAAAATATTAAATTAGTGACATGGTTTGGCTGTGTCCCCACCCAAACCCCAACTTGAATTCTATCTCCTAGAATTCCCATGTGTTGTGGGAGGGACCCAAAGACAGGTAATTGAATCATGGGGGGCTGGTGTTTCCTGTGCTATTCTCGTGATAGTGAGTAAGTCTCACGAGATCTGAAGGGTTTATTGCTTCCTCCTCATTTTTCTCTTGCCCCCATCATGTAAGAAGTGCCTTTCACCTCCCGCCATGATTCTGAGGCCTCTCCAGCCATGTGGAACTGTAAGTCCAATTAAACCTCTTTTTCTTTCCAGTCTCAGGTATGTCTTTATCAGCAGCATGAAAATGGACTAATACGATTAGTACACCTATTTGTCTCAGAGCTCATAGGATTTTGTACTTTTGCTCAACTTTAAAAGCCTCTGAAGGTAACTCAACTAAAGTAGAAATTGCCTCCATAAAACAGGTACATTGTGAACATTCATTACTGTCCACTTTTTACACATTCCCAGTCATCAATGTTAAGATGCATGAATTTCCAGGGGTACCTGGGAAATATATGAGCCCAGGCTCAGGGCAGCATCTGTCAGTACAACAGAAGGTCATTCCACAGCAGAAATTGAAATGGATGTTATTTGCTCTAACAAACGCTGATTGCATTCCAGACCTATAAATCACATGCACACATGTGGAACTGATGGGCCCAGACAGTGGCAAGCCAACGTCTGTATAAATGGCACCTTGTCCATCTTTATCCTAAGCTCCTAAACCAGGTCTAGTTCCAGCAAAAGTTGATCACTCCAGATATAATCCATACCAACTCACACCCAACTTGTCCTAAACCATGTGAGCTTCATCTATTGCCAGGTGTCCTATAGATGTCTTAGACACTTCAAATGGTTGGAAAATGCTCACAGAACTGCCTCCACCTAGGTTAAACCCCAGAGCAACAAATTTAAATCAGCTGAGGCCAGTCTACAACCGCCCCCCCTCCCCGCCCCAGAAGAGAAGCTGGCTGAGCTGTCAGGGTGCCAGAATTGCAGTCTTGTTCATCTCTGAACTCATACTTGGAAGCTCAGTAAGAGGCATACTATTAGTTCATATTAGAAACAGTTACTGAATGCCAAATAGTAAGCTAAGCCCTTGATGTTTGTCATATAATTTTATCATTATAACAGCCCTATGAGACAGAAAACTCCTATTATCCCCATTTTAGAGATGAGGACCTAGGACTCCGAGAGGTTAAGAAACATGTCCAAGGTCACACAGCTCACAGATGATGGAGCTGGAATTTGAATCCAAGTGGTCTGTTTCCTAGTCCCCACATGTACCTGCTAGGATGTATACCAACCACATGGACTTTCAATGCCAGTGTCGTAGGACTATGTGACTTGGATGTATATACTGTGTGTTTCCAAGCACTTGTACACAGTGAGACTTCAACAAATATCAGCCACTGTTATTAAACCTCCAAGACAAGGCATCAGAAAGAAGGAACAACAAAGATTTCTAGGGATTTCTGGCACTGTCCATTTCTCAGTTCTACTATCCACCTTGTGCAAGGTGAACCACTTCCCCAAGCGGGAACCACCAGTCTTTGCATTTCTTCAAGCACTGATGGCTGCTGGAGAAGGAGGCAGCACAGAGAGCCTGGGGAAGGTTCATGGGTGACACTGTGTGACTTGGGCGGAGAGCAGCCTCTCTGTGCTGGGTGAGTGGGATAATGATTCCTGCCCTTATTGTCTTCACATGCTAATCAGAATTAATTGGGGAAATCATTGTGAACTCTAGGTCCTCTTAGATTAGTGCTTAATTATAATACATCATTTGCTGAGAATAAGTACTTGGACCCTGGAGATGAATCCTCTCTCCTTATCCCTTCAATAAGGATTCAGTTCCAGACTTATGCTCTATCATTTCTTCTCAAAATACAAGAAAAATAACAAATCGTTATTTTATCCCTCTCTTTCATTTTTAATCAAACAGATTAAATAGAAAGATAAAGAGCCATTTTAAAATCATGAACTTTTTTTAAGCATCATAAGATTGTTCATTCCATAGAATCAATGGTGTACGGTCTGCTCATATATCTTGAAGTTACATTACATTCTGGTATTTTCTATCACCATCATTTAGTGTTTTAGTTGTAAACATGCTACATAACACAGAGGCCACTCACTGTCAAAGGGTCATATGCGACAGGACAAATGGCCACTGGCCTGTCCCCACCCCTTCCACTTAAATGTTGGAAGGAATGTGGGGGACCTGCGGAAGTGGGGGACCACATTCCTTACATGTTGAATGTTTCCAAAGAGCCCTCTCCTCATTGCCTCTGCAGTGACTGCCAGTATTCTCATCCGCAGGGTTCAACACAGCCAGACTCATACCGAATGCAAAAAGCTACCCCTAACAAAACACCAGAACTTTGCATCAGGAAATTCAGTCATGCTTCGCTTGGCTGATCTCAAATATCTGAGCGTGTGTACTAGTCTTCTGTCACTGATGGTCTGTCTAGAAAGGGCTTCTGTGGTTCCTTCCTCTCCCTCTTGCCAGCTCCCCCACACCAATATTTCTTTAAATCAAAGGAAACTATTATCTTGTAAAGGTTTTAACATGCATATGTCCTTAGAACCTCTAAACTGTTATAAAAATCATACGATTAGTCACTTGGCACATGCCCAGACCTAAGCTCAGGAGGCATTGCAGACCGTTCCATGCCTCAGGCACAGCCTGAAGAGCATCTCTGGCCTCTGCAGTCACCCCAGGCCCTGCTGCTGAGACCTTGACCCCTCCAAGTCCCTCCACGCAGCGGGCTGGCCACTCTTCCAGGAAGCTGCTGCAGGACAGACTCCAGCAGACTACTCAGGATTCAAGGATGCGTGAAGGTTAGAGCATTAATATACATCCACATCCTTCAGATGCAAGAGTAATGATGAAATAATCGTCCCCGGATAACGGGATGAGTCAGAGGAGGTTCCAGGAATAGACTCCAGATTTCCATCTCGTATCACCATTCAACATCACCACTAGGAGACTTCTACGAGGGCAAAGTGACCTCACACGTGTTCTGAGCCCAAAAATATTTGTCTCGAATGCTTTTCCAACTCCTCTCAAGCTATAATAAACTGAACTTTAAATCAGTTGTTCAAATTTGACAACAGAAAAATCAGTGATAAAATTCTACTTATCATGTGTTTATGAATTTCTAATTTTTCTTGGGGCTTCGAGACATAAACCCAGAGTATAAAAAGCTGTCCCTTCTGGCCAGGTTGGTGAGCACAGCAGAGGCCAGCTAGAAAGTTTCACATCCTGTTGGCAAATCGGCAAGAGCTACTGAAGATCTGCCACTGTTATACTTGACATGGAAGACAAGGAAAGTCCCTGAGGGCTGGAAATAGACAGAGTACTCACAGGAAAAGGGAGGGAAGTTAGGTAGCAAGGAAGGAAGGAAGAGAGGGTAGAAAGAAAACAGAAAAGAAGAAAGAGAAGAAAGAGAAAGTGGTGGGGAAGGGAGGAAAGTGGGGGCGGAGAACTACCTTGGTAACTGCAGACCAGTCAATGAAAGTTTTTTGGGTTTTTTTTGGGGGGTGGGGGGTTGTGTGTTTTTTGTTGTTGTTGTTGTTTGTTTTTTGAGATGGAGTCTCGCTTTGTTGCCCAAGCCAGAGTGTAGTGGTGCGATCTCAGCTCACTGCAACCTCTGCCTCCCGAGTCCCAACAATTCTCCAGCCTCAGCCTCCCGAGTAGCTGGATTACAGTTGTGAGCCACCACACCTGGCTTATTTTTGTATTTTTAGTAGAGACAGCGTTTCATCATGTTGGCCAGGCTGGTCTCAACTCCTGACCTCAAGCAATCTTCCCACCTTGGCCTCCAAAAGTGCTGGGATTACAGGCATGAGCCACCTCACCCGGCCCCGTCAATGAAAGTCTGATGCTCAGAATTTATTCCAAATAAGAGTTCCTTTGTAAATGCAAGTAACAAAGTCCTGACAGATGCATTCTAGCTTCTTCTTTGACAATGACAGGCCTCAGAGAGACTGGTTAAGCAAGGGGCACAATCTACCCATGCTTCAGTAAGGATGTTAATTTTGGAAGCAAAAGGGAAAGGCAATTTTAAGGCACAATTAAGCCTCCTGTAAAACCATAGGGATACTGCAAGTAATGACATTCAGTGGAGTGAAGGAAGGAAGGCAACTGATCACTCTCACCACGAACTCTTATCTGAATGGATGGTAGCCACCATGCTTACAGAAGACAATAAGCTCGCCACATCTTAGAACACAGAAATAATCCAAAGGGACCTTGATAAACATGATAAATCAGCTCTAAAACCATGATGGAATTTCATCCTGACTGTATTAGTCCATTTTTGCATTGCTATAAAGAAATATCTAAGACTGGGTAATTTATAAAGAAGAGAGGTTTAATTGGCTCGTGATTCTGCAGGCTGTACAGGAAGCATAGTGGCTTCTGCGTCTGGGGAGGCCTCATGAGCTTTTACTCATGACAGAAGGCAAAGGGGGAACAGGTGTCTTACATGGCAGGAGTAGGAGAAAGAGTTGGGGAGGAGCTGCTTCCCTTTTCAACAACCAGATCTCACAAGAACTCACCATCACAACCAAGGGCGAAATTTCCCAGGATCCAAACACCTCCCACCAGGCCCCACCTCCAACACTGGGGATTACAGTTCAACATGAAATTTGGGTGGGGACATCAATAAAAACATGTCAGTGATATGTCACTGACACAAGTCAGTGTACAAAGAAACATTCTAGAGTGCTGCATCTAACTAATCAGCAACTAGTTCTGACTGACAAGGAAAGATGACAAATGCAGTGTCTTTAATTGAAAACACATAAAATGAAACAAAATCATAAAATGTTGCCAGGAACAGGTCCAAGATGGTCTTCTTAGAAGTCACTGGCTCATCAACACTTATAAGAAAATAAATCGGTGCTTCAAAAGTGCTTGTGCGTGTTCTGAGGACTTCGTTCACTTGAAATTAAGCATTCCCCTTGAAGTTTGTTTTGTCAAATTGATTTCCTAACAAACTGCATTGTTATAGATAACACAATGATAAACGTCAGACAAGCCCCAGTGAATTATTACACATTAATGTAATATAAATCAATGAATCTTCCTAACATAGGATGAGAATATGTTAGCCTTTCCCAAAAGTGTGTTCTACTGAAACTCTAGTACTAAGAAATCCCATGAAAAAGGGTTGCAAAGACAAATGCAGTAACAAAAACAATAATAACAATATAAATAACAACACACACACACACTCATTACTATATGCCAAGCACTCTGTGTTAGTCAGGGTTCTCCAGAGAGAAAGGACCAATAGGATATATTTAGAGGATATATATAAGAGGGGATTTATTGTGGGGAATTGGCCCACATGATTGTGGAGGCAGAGAAGTCCCACCATATCCCAACTGCAAGCTGGAGAACCAGGAAGTCAGTGGTATAACTCAGCCAAGTGGAATGCCTGGCCCGTTTTATCCAGGCCATTTGCAATGTGTGATGCCCTTCACATTGAAGAGGGTGGTCTTTATTCAGTCTACTGATTCAAATGCTGATCTCTTTTGGAAACATCCTTGCAGACCCACCTAGAAATCATGTTTTACCAGCTATGTGGGCAACCCTTAGCCCACTCAAGTTGACACATAAAATCAACCATCACACACCATTTTAAGAACCAATTATATTCAGAGAAAACAAACTTCACAAAATTCTATCTCCCTTTTATCCACACAAGATACATAACATTTTAGACTCTGAAAGGTCCTACAGCAAAGGAACCTATCTGATATACCCTAAAGTAATATAACTCTATTTCAGCAAAACATCTGAGGTATACTCATTTTTCCATTCCACAAATATTTATTGAATGGCTTTTTTTTTTTTTGCCAAGGACTGAACTAAGCAAATATTAAAAAGACAGAGAAAAAATAATAAGAGAACTAAAGATTCAAGACACAACACTAAAAGAATAAACCAATAAAACATATAATGCAGTCTTATTTCTGTAAGAAACTGGAGGCTACAGCAGAAATATGCCTGGCAAAGATGGCAAGGTCATGTACTGCTAGGGGCAGCCGGGCTCCATGTAGCAGCTGCAGTCTACCAAGCTTATCTGCAGGCAAGCTGAAGAATTCTGAGAACTACTATTCCTCAAAGTAAAATTTATTTCAATTAATTATGTTTAAATAAAGACCCTAAATAATGTACCTCTGCATCAAATACAAAGAAAATTTGCTCAGCTATTAGAAAAATGCTTGTCTAAATGATTAAATGCAAACACAGGCCACCAAGAGAAGTTATAAGTCCTTGAAATCTGCACTAATAGGATTTATTGCCATCTTTACGATTCAGCTGGCTAGCATTGCTTGAGGCAGGGGCTTGAACTAGCATAGCTCTGGGACTCCATCCCAAACCTTTAACTATGACTGTGAGGACTGCAGAATAATACAAAAAAGTGTGTGTGTGTGTGTGTGTGTGTGTGTGTGTGTGTGTATAGATATGTGGGAAGAAAATGGCCTGAAAAGATCAGCCTAATATTAAATGTCAAAGTCATGGGGCAACTCCTTGCTTTTATTCAGGAATGCAGAGAATAGGAAAATAAAATGTAGACTTGAATTACCATAATGGCTTTGTTTGTTTATGTGTTGGGTAAAATTTGCACACTTTATTGTATCTATTACCCCCAATTACAGCAATTTCCATTTCCCCAAGGCAGTAATGGAGAAAGTTTAATGTACAATAGGAACCCAAATGTCAGAATCCCCATTCTCTTAAATGGTGTTAAAGCCCTTTGTCCTTTTTCTCATTTAAAATTCTTTCTCTTGCTTAAATTCCAAGAATTAAGGACAACCAACCAGGTTGATCCTCTGGTTTAAATACCATGTTCTGGATTCTACTCTGCTCTTGAGATTTAACTCTGAGCACCTCAGTAATGAGGTGGTGATAAATACACATGAGAAAGCCATGACAGCAAATGTGTCGCTCCACATCCTCATAAATGCCTGCCCTAGTGCAAGACACATTAGATCAACTGCTCTAGGGTTTCAGCTTTGGAGGAAAGCAGACTGTTGAGTAGAGCACGGACAGCATTGCCTGCCGGCACAACAGCACACAAAACAACAAATCACTCGGGTTGCGTGTGTGTGTGTGTGTGTGAGACGCACACAGACATGGACACATGCATATACACACCGTCATCATATAAATTCTTATACTAGCTTTAAAAACTGGGACTAACCATTTCTTTGAGTCCCAAACCTCCTTACTCTCCATTAAAACTCTATGACATATTCTCACACACACACTCCCAGACAATTGGGCCTGGACTGGCAATGGATGTCTGTTGCTATTCTAATTTTAATCATAGGCCACCTGCATCAAAATATCAAGGTTTCAAGGCAGCAATGGTGAATTAAATATATATATATACACACACACACACATATCTCAAGGGAGATACATATACACACACACACACACACACACACATATCTATTGATTATTAATTGATTTAATTGATTTAAAGAACTTAACTGGCCCCTTATGGCTGGAATCCATTTTAATCTCTAAATTGACCACTCTTCTCAATTGAATTTTAAAATGAAGAGGCTTGATGTTTCAGACTGGAATCATGAGAAGTCTTCTAAATCTAACTGTAATTCTAGCTGTAATTCTAGCTAATGGGCAATTTTTGTAAAACAAAAAAAGATGAAAAATTATATATATACACACACACATCTCAAGTGAGCACCCAGTGCAATTCACCCATATTATATAGTGTCTGTACACAAATAATTCCTTTTAATACCATGTAGGGAAACAAATGGTCACAAACCATAAATAGGAACTGCTGCTTTTTCTACAAACACTTAGGGCTCAGAAAGAACCTTATTTGACCAAATGCATCTCAACTTGTGTATTTAACTATTTATATGATTTACATGTCCAAAAACTGCATGAGCTGTCCACAGCTCTACTGGAGACTGCGCTGCAGAGCGAGCCTTTGTTGCCATGACGGACCATCCCTCAAATAATTCAAAACAATTCAGTCTGAGCTGCCAACGTGAACAAAGTTGGGCTTGGACAGTCCTCTTTATGTAAAAAAGACTTTTACGTAAATCTTTCACTTACGTAAAAGACTTGCACGTAAGTTTCCTGCAGAGTCTGGGGAGTGAGGTTTCCTCCGGCTGCCACATTTTTGGGGTGTCTGTTCTCTTCAGGGAATGAGAGAAGGAAACGTGTGTCTCCACAACACAGCTCCTCCCCACGCCTCTGGGAGCATGAGCCACTCCTGGGCAGACTGTGTTTTACTGATACCTTGTGATGGAGAGAGAGAAAGAATAGTCTGTATAAAAAGAAGTGAATTTCCAGAACATTCCTAGTGAACAACTTTCCTTCCCTGCTCCATTGTCAACCTCCCCATGTATCAGACACCGTCGAGCACTCTTCTGAAAATCCAGACAATGAAAGGAGTTCTAGTGCACTGACCTTTCTTGCCAACTGAATACACATTTCCCAACTCAGTCTTGCCTCACCAACCTGACCCTGGATGACTGTCTCCCTAACACTCACGAATTAAAATGGGCCTGTAAAAAAATCATCGCCGATTTCCAGTACCATTTTTCTAATTGTTGACAACAGTTCCATCCTCTCCTCCCATCTTTCATCTTTACAAGGCATCTGTCTCTCAAAATATAGCAGCCCAGCATAAGGGAAAAGTCCCAGATTCACGCGGCTTTTCACCTATAAATATAACCTAATGGTTCCATCTGGTAAACTCCATGTACAAAGCACATGCTCTCTGCTGAAGCTTCAAGGCCTAGAAATTATTTCTGAGAAATTGAAAATCTTAATAAAACTGTAAGGAAACCCACTGACTTCTGTCCAGAATATGAATTTTAAGAAAAAAGATGACTGGGGAGGGGAGACGAGAGCTGGAGGCTGAGCTACCTTAAAAAGAAATTGAGGAGGCACGTAAAGACCCTGAGATGCTTGCAGTGCCCGCTGTGTGCCTGCTAACTGATGACTGGAGTTTTTTTCTTAGTCCCCTGTCCTTCCTTTGTCTTGATCATAATTTTGTATTTCACCAGGCACAGCCCTGTCAAGTGAAGGAGAAACAGAGTCCAGACTCCCTTTGCTGTAAACTCGGGTGACTTTCATTTCTAAATGTTCCCGGGTTAGCCTATAGAGCGCACGCTGCTTTTCATCTTATTGGCTTGGATCTTGTGGGTAATTGATTTAAAGGACTTAACTGGCCCCTTATGGCTGGAATCCATTTTAATCTCTAAATTGACCACTCTTCTCAATTGAATTTAAAGATGAAGAGGCTTAATGTTTCAGACTGGAATAGTGAGGAGTCTTCTAACTGTAATACAAGCTAATGCACAATTTTCGCAAAACAAAACAAAAAAAAGATGAAAAATAAAATTACTTGTAATCCCTCTACCCAGAAATTACCATCCTTTTATGTTATATTTTCTTCTGGCCTTTATTCATGAAAATTAATTTTGCTGTCACGGAAATGGCTCTATACAAGTACTGCTGGAAGTTTACACCTTAGCAGTTTTATATCTCATGGTTTTAAACTTCAAAATGTAGCAAGATATAAATGTTCATCAAGAAAAAAACCACATGACAGATAAAACATAGAAAAATATTTAATGTGTGTCATATAATGTTTTGATGGGCAAATATGTGATAAAATATAATCCTTCAGCTATTACAAATGAAGTCACTCTTGAGCTCTTACTAGGGTCTGTGACTCGAAAGCCGGTGGTGTGCAGGGGTGAATTTGTCTTAAAAATATCTTCACATTTCTTGCCATGCAAACCTAGGAACTCTCCCTCGGTAGGTTCAACACAAGAGCAGCCTTCCCTCAGCAAAATGTTGGAGAAGAACCGAGGGGTTCCCTGGGGCCAGAGCCTCGGGCGGACCCTTCTCTGCCAGCAGACTTTGTGCTTGTTCTCAGGGCTCACTTGCAGGATTCGCTCCCGTCTTAGGAAGTAAACTGGGTTTGAGGTGAGTAATTAAAGAAACTCTCAGAGGGGACTTGGTCTGAAAGCCAGCCCTAGTCTCTCCGACACCGCAGTCCTTAGCTGGCCTGGCATACCCCCTGTCTCCAAGGCCTACTTCCTGGTAAGCCGAGGCTTGCTCTGCCACTGCTGCATTCTTCTCAGGACCGCCCCTCAGGGCTTCTTTCTCCAAGCCCCCAGACGCTGAGACACGCTTCCGTGTGAACAGAACAGCAGGGAGGGTCCCTCTGTTCCCAAAGCAGGCCCGCACGGCCACTCCCACTGCCCCTCTGCCTCCAATTTTCCGACCAACCAATCAAGACGGAGCTGCTCCTGGGACAGCCAATCACAGCATGGGTGACTCGGCTCCACCCTCGTCAGGCAGGATGGTTAATTTCATGCATCCGCTGGGCCCAGGCCAACGTACCCAGACATTTAGTCAAGCACTGTTCTGGATGTTGGTGTGAAGGTATTTTTTAGATGAGATGAACATTTAATCTGTGGACTTTAAGTAAAGCAGATTGCCCTTCATGATGTGGGTGGGCTCCAATCAATCAGCTGAAGGCTTTAAGAGAAAAAAGACTCCTCTAGGAAGAGGAAATTCTGCCTCCAGATGGCTGCAACACCAACTCCTTCCAGACTCTAGCCTGCTGGCCTGGCCTCCAGATGTCTGATTCACCAACCCCCACATCATATGAGCCAACTGTAACATAGATCTCTCTCCCTCCCTCTCTCTTTCTCTTGTTTTATATTATATATTACTATTATAGACATGTTATCTATAATTATATGTAATTATACATATTTACTAGACATTAACATATATAGTATATATGAATACTATATAATACATATACCTATATCTGCAATATATGTAATATACATACATGTACATTATATATTACATAATTATATATACTGTATATACATATGAACATATGTAAATATACACACACAGCCTACATTATCTCCATATGTACACATCATATAAGTAATGCATAACCAACACACCCTATTGATTCTGTTTCCCTGGAGAACCCTGACTACTAACTTCATCAGTAATCAGTGGCAGTGCTTCTTGCCACTCCTTTGTCCTCTCAAACCCCCTAGTACAATTCCCACTGTTACCAGCAGAGCCCAGAGACTCAGTTGGACTTGCTGAGGACAGACGTCACAAATACTATCATCTCCCTATCACTGGTGATAAAAAGAGGGTTTATGATATGTGAAAGTCTCGCTTCAGGTCCAGGTCCACCAATGGGGAGTGTGACTTCCCCAGGCCAGAGCTCTTACTCTTCAAGGGGCCTGAGCTGTGGCTGTCCCCACATGTACCAGGACAGCCCTGGGAGCAATGCCCACTGTGCGACCATGCACCTGCGCCTGGCTTACTGATATTCCTGAGGCCACTCTGCCCTCCTCCACTGGCCTCACCACCCACAGGGCCATGCTGTTGTCCATGAGAAGCTGGGGAGACCAAAGGTTAAATCTATGCTCTTGGAAAATGGCTTCAATATTATTACTTGAAATCATTTACAAAGGCCATGACTACTTCAAGGAATATACTTTTTGTCAGGGAGGAGGAAAACTCTGGGCCCCTAGAAAGCTTTGGCTCATGTGCCCTGGGCAGCATAGCTGGAGTTCTTCATGACTCCCTGTCCCTCCCTCTATCCCTAGGCATTTCACCTCAGTCTCATTCCTGAGTGGAAACAAAAGTTGCAAGGGAACTTTAGGTAAAGTCACTTGCAAAGACAATACCCATGAATATCCTTGTTCCCACCGATTCAGTCACTAATGCAAAACCCATGGAGCTTCAGAAATTTAAATCAGACTATGCACAATTAATGACTAGAAACTCCAATTTCATGTTAATTGGTTTTAATTAAAAATTTTCCCTATGCTTATCTATATGGGCTTACTGTCAGTGCCCCGGCAATCTAATCTCTGAATTCCCTGCATCATATGCGTTACCTTTGAAGTTGAACAATAAAACAAATCTCTGAACAGCACCTGAATGGTCCATTAGGGAGCAAGGAAGAAGCTGGTAATAAGGCAAGGAGAAGGGACACAGAAAACACACACTGTAAAGTCACATGCAAAGATGACACCCAAGAGGCAGGAGGCTCATTTCAGGTTATCGAGGCATTAGTCACATTTCTCATCCCAGCAAAACATAAAGCATATGCCCAAACTTCCCAAGGTGACCGCCGTAACGTGACTGGAGCATGAGGAATTTAAACATTGGAGGGTTATAAATGAAACCATTTCCATCGTCTATCAAAGTAGGTAATGTCCCACCTTTAAAGGAAATAAGGAGGGGAGCATCTGTTTCTGGTCGTTTGGGTAGCAAAGAGCTACTTGGTTAACGTTAAAAGATGAAGGAATCTGTCGCTTCTGCCAAACCACAAGTCAACAGCATAAAAAGGAATTGGTCAGGAAATTCAACCATCTTTTCTCACTGCCTTCATGAACATTCCACAAAACACCACACATAGACAAAAGATGCTAATTCACCTCTCCAAGCAACCTAATATACTCTCAGCTACACTTCTATTTTATAAGCTGCATTATTTGCGAAATTTTCACTCATCTCCATTTTGAGGAAGGGCCGTGAAAAGCATCCATTTAAGTGTCTCCCATAATTGCGAATGTTAACAGCCAATTTTCTCCAACACTGACACCACTCTGCCTATCTTCGGTAGCAAAAATACTCATCTTTGCTTCTAATCAAAGCTCTCACTCACGGTTTATATGCATCCATTTTATTTTATTGTATTTTTGAGTGTTCCATCAACGCAGCCTTACCCGTGGAACTAGTTTTCCCTTGAGCACTCAAGTAATGATTCTTATAAGGTAACAGCTGTGGGCCGATAGATCCTATATATTTCTGTGGAAGCTACAGTTGTTTGGAAGGTCAGCCATCAAATGGAGCTCATTTTTCACTGGAGACAAAGGCAGTGCCAAGGTCTTTGCAGTTTGTATGGAATTAAGCTAGTTTTGTAAAAGTGAAAACATGGGCATTAGAACAGTTTTCTTTTTTAAAAAAACACAGTAGAAGATTTATATCTTTAAAAATTCTCAAATATTGATCAACCAGTAAAGTTTTAATGAGATTTGTAAAACAAATGATAAAGCAAAAGTTATTGCTGTTTGTAGAAAAAAATCCTTATTAAAGAGATCTTATTATTCCAAAATTTACTATTCACTACACTAGAATTATTATAATTAATGAGATTAGACCTGTAAAATTAGAGATAGAAGTAACAGAGAGGGTAATAAAATAATAGTTTTTGCTGTGTGTTTGTTAATTCAGGAAAATTCAAAGAAACTTGACATTATTTCGAGTAACAGTTTGAAGCTATCTCTAAGCATAGAAATGGGTGCGTAATACAAATGCTGCTGGATTATGGACACTTCTTTTTCTTTGGATATGTGATTTTTTCTGCTTCCCTGTTTTTTTTTCTTTTTTTTTTTTTTATTACTCCCACCTTCCTACCCTCCAATATACATCATTTCCCCCAGATAATCAATGTTTATTAACTGGCATGATTCTATCCAAAGCTATCTCATGGGTCATGTCATCATACACATGCATATATATTCATCTAAGATGCTGTTTGTTTAAATCAAAAATAGAAAACAAAATACAAAATAGAAATACAAAAACAGAAAACTTTCCTCTGCATTCGGCTTTTCTCACTTAACATGACATCCTGGAATTTCTTTATGTTAACTGGTGTAGAATCCCTTCTTTTTAATATGTGTCATATTGTATGGAAGTGAAGTACTATCAAATGCTGGCTCCCCAAAATAATACCAAAGCAGCCTGTTGATCAGACTAAGTGAGTTTACGGCTTAGTGGCGTAAAGGGGAGAACACTGCCTCCACAGAGCCATGGTAGTGTCTCAGAGAGGAAAGAGCAAAATCAGGATATCTATTGAGAGTTTGAAATCTGATTGAAGGCGATTCTTTCAATTTGGAGACTTGGTTAAGTTGGGTAAAGATCATAAAATAATAATTTCCTATTTTCAGTTCTTGTAAAATTCCTATTGTTCAGCTGTTTTCTTGGGATATAATTGACAATTTTTGTACATATTTAAAACGGACAACCCGGCCAGGCATAGTGGTTCATGCCTGTAATCCCAGCACTTTGGGAGGCCAAGACGGGTGGATCACCTGAGGTCAGGAGTTCAAGACCAGTCTGGCCAACATAGTGAATCCCTTTCTCTAATAAAAATACAAAAATTAGCTGGGCATGGTGGCAGGTGCCTGTAATCCCAGCTACTCAGGAGGCTGAGGCAGAAGAATCACCTGAGCCTGGGAGGTGGAGGTTGCAGTGAGCTGAGATCGCATCACTGCACTCCAGCCTGGGTGACAGAGCGAAACTCCCCCTAAAAATAAAATAAAATAAAATAAGACAACTTGATAAGCTGTGATGTGTATACACCCATAGAGCCATCAGCACAATCAAGCTAGTGAACATTCCCGCAGCTCCCGAAGTTTCCTCATGCTCATTTATAATTCTTCCCTTTCTGCCCTCCTCTCACTCCATCCCAAGCAACCACTGATCTGCTTTTTCTAACAATACATTCTAGAATTTCACATCATGAAATCACATAATATGGCTTCTTTTTCTCTGGTATCTTTCACTTAGCATAATTGTTTTGAGATTCACTTACATTGCATATATCAATAATGCATTGACTTTCTTGTTGAAAAAGTATTCCCTTGTGTGAATATACCACAATTTTTCATCCATTCATCACTTGAAGGGCATTTGATTGTTTCCAGTTTTGGCTGTTATTAAGAAAGCTACTAAATATTTGTGCACAAGTTTTTGTAAAAAAACATATGCTTTCATTTCTGTTGGATATACACCCAGGAGAAGAATGGTTGAATACAGTTGATTTTTATCTTCTGAAGAAACTGCCCAAGTGTTTTCCAAAGTTGAATCATTTTACATTCCCAATAGCAGTGAATAAAATTTCCAGTTTCTCCATATCCTAACCAATAGTTGGTATAATCAGTCTTTTTAATTTTAGCCTCTCTAACAGGTGTGTAGTGACTTCACATTGTGGTACTAATTTCATTTCCTTAATGACTAACAGTGTTGAACATTATGCTGTTGTAGAGTGGAGTGTGTTCTATAAATGTGAACCAGGTCATGTTGATTGATTGTGCTATTAATCTCTACTGTATCTTGGTTGATTTTCTGTGAACTTGTTATATTAACTCTGAGAAATGGCTATATATATATATATACTTTTTTTTTTTTGAGACGTAGTCTCGCTCTGTCACACAGGCTGGAGTGCAGTGGTGCAATCTTGGCTCACTGCACCCTCCACCTCCTGGGTTCAAGTGATTCTCCTGCCTCAGCCTCCTGAGTAGCTGGGATTACAGGTGCACACCACCATGCCTGGCTAATTTTTGTATTTTTTAGTAGAGATGGGATTTCACCGTGTTGGCCAGGCTGGTATCAAACTCCTGACCTCAGGATCTGCCCACCTCGGCCTCCCAAATGCTAGGATTGCAGGTGTGAGCCACCTCCCCTGGCCCCAGTTCATATATTTTTAAAGCTCCATTTTCAAAGCCATAAACACTTATAATTTTAAGTCCTTTTGACTAATTATTCCCTTTATCATTATAAAATTACCTTCTTTATCCTGGACAATTTTTTAAAATATTCTTGATATTAATACAGACATTGAAGCTTTCTTTTGAACAGTCTTAGCATGGGATATCTTTTTGCATACTTATGTATTTAACCTATTTGTACCTTTAAGTTTAAAGTGTGTTTCTTGTAGACAACATATAATTGGACCTTGCTTTTTTAGCCAATTTGACAATCTCTGCCTTTTAATTGAGGTATTTCAACTATTTGTAGTTAATGTGATTATTGATATGATTAGGCCTTAATTGATAATTTTTCATTTATTTCTTATTTGTTACATCTGTTCTTTATTGTCCTTTCCCTCGTTTTCTGCCTTCTTTTGAATTGAGTCTTTTTTATGATTACATTTTGTCTTCTTTCGTTGGCTCTTCAGCTATAACTCTTTGTGGTATTATTTTAGTGGTTGCTTTAGGATTTATAGTAAATATCTTTATCACCATCTACTTTCAAGTGGTATTGTACCATTTCATGTATAATATAAAAACTTACAAGTTATATATTTCTATTTCTCCCCTCCCCGACCTTTTTTTTTTTTTTTTTTTTTTTTTTTTTTTTTGAGATGGAGTCTCACTCTGTTGCCAGGCTGGAGAGTGCAGTGGCGCGATCTCAGCTCACTGCAACCTCCGCCTCCCTGGTTCAGGCGATTCCCCTGGTTCAGGCGATTCTCCTGCCTCAGCCTTCTGAGTAGCTGGGACTACAGGTGCGTGACACCACGCTCAGCTAATTTTTTTGTATTTTCAGTAGAGACAGGGGCAGGGGTTGTTTCACCATGTTGGCCAGGATGGTTTCAATCTCCTGACCTCATGATCCACCCACCTCAGCCTCCCAAAGGGCTGGGATTACAGACGTGAGCTACCACGCCCAGCCCTCTCCCTGACTTTATGCTATCGTTTTAATACATTTTACTTTTTTATGTGGTAAACCCACAATGCATTATTTGTGTTTAAACTGTTAAATATATTTTAAAGAGATACTACTAATAAAAATTCTTACACAACTATCCATGTTTTTACCATTTTCTGTGCTCTTCATGGATCCAGATTCCCATCTAGTATCATTTTCCTTCTACCTTGAAGCTCTTCGTTTAAATTTCTTGTAGTATGGGTTGGCTGGTGGTAAATTCTTTCAGGTGCTGTATGTCTGAAAATATCTGTATCTCACCTTTGTTTTTGAAAGCTCTTTCTGCTGGCTTCAGGTTTTTTTTTTCTTTTAGTACTTTAAAGTTGCTGCTCCACTGTTTTGTCACTTGCATTGTTTCCAATGAGAAATCTGCTCCCACCCTATCTTTGTTCTTCTGTAAATATCATGTCTTTTTTTTCTGGCTGCTTCTAAGGTTTTATTTTTATCATTGGATTTAAGCCATTTTTATTTATTTATTATTTTGATAGGTTTTGGGGAAGCATGGTGTTTGGTTACGTGGATAAGTTATTTAGTGGTGATTTCTGAGATTTTGGTGCACCTGTCACCCAAGCAGTGCACACTCCACCTGATGTGTAGTCTTTTATCCCTTACCCCTCCCACTCTTTCCCCCAAGTCCCCAAAGTCCACTGTATCATTCTAATGCCTTTGTCTTCATAGCTTATCCCCCACTTTTAAGTGAGAAGACATGATGTTTGCTTTCTCATTCCTGAGTTACTTCACTTAGATTAATGGTCTCCAATTCCATTCAGTTCGCTGCAACAGCCATATTTTGTTCCTTTTTATGGCTGAGTAGTATTCCATGGCTTGCGTGTGTGTGTGTGTGTGTGTGTGTGTGTGTGTACCACATTTTCTTTATCAACTCATTGACTGATGGACATTTGGGCTGGTTCCATATTTTTGTAATTGCAACTTGTGTTGCTATTAATATGCATGTGTAAGTATCTTTTTCATATAATGACTTATTTTCTTCTGGGTATATACCCAGTAGTGGGATTACTGGATCAAATGGTAGATCTATTTTTAGTTCTTAAGGAATCTCCACACTGTTTTCCATACTGGTTGTACTAGTTTACAATCCACCAACAGTGTAAAAGTGTTCCCTTTTCACCACATCCCTTTTCGGCCATTCCCTTTTCACCACAAAAAAAATAGCATCTATTATTTTATTTTTTTAATTATGGCCATTCTTGCAGGGGTAAGGTGGTATCGCATTGTGGTTTGGATTTTCATTTCCCTAGTAATTATGTTGAGCATTTTTTCATATGTTTCTTGGCCATTTGTATATCTTCTTTTGAGAACTGTGTATTCATGTCCTTAGCCCACTTTTTTGATGGGATTGCTGCTTTTTTCTTGCTGACTTGTTTGACTTCCTTGTAGATTCTGGATGGCCTTGGTGTAGTTTTCTTCATTTTTTGCTTGGGGTTGATGATTTTTGCATCTGCATGTTTATAGTTTTCATCATGATTGACTATTATTCCTTTAAATATTTTTTTCTGTTCTCCTACTCCTTTAAGGGCTACAATTAAATATCTATTATGTCACTTGAAGTTTACTCACAGCTCACTGATGCTGTTTTCATTTTAATATTTTCCTTGTGTTTTATTTTCTATAGTTGTTGTTATGTCTTCAAGCACATTAAAATGTACTTCTGCAGTATCTAAACCATTGTTATCTCAGCCAGTGTGCTTTCCTTGCAAACATTGTTTCCATCTTTATAAAAATTCAATTTGGGTTTTTTTCTATATCTTCCATGTTTCCACTTAACTTTTTGAAAATATGGAATAATGTTATAATAACTTTTTAATGTATTTTTTCTGCTAATTCTAACATCTGGGTCAGTTTTAATTATATGTGCATTCTCCCATAAGGATCATGGTTTCCTGCTTCTTTTTATGTCTGGTAATCTTTGCTTAGATGCCTGACATTGAAAAGTTTCTCCTTTTCAGTGTGGGACTTTTTTGTATTCCTCTAAACATTCTTGAATTTTGTTCTGTAATCAGTTAAATTTTTTATGAACAACTTGATTTTTTTCAGTCTTGCATTTATGATTTGTTAGGCATGTCTAGAGCAGTGCTCTGTCTAGGGCCAGTCATTCCTTGCAACAGAGATAAGACCTTCCTAAGTACTCTATCCAATACCCAGTGGGTTGAGTTCTCTAGCATGGTTTATTGAAACAGTCAAAGTCCCCAGTCCTGTATGAGCATTCAGTACCATTTCCTCTAATCTTTTCAAATGGCTCTTTTCCTAGCTCCAAGTAGTTTCCTCATACATCTGTGTTGATCTGTATATATTTTGTTGAATAATTAAGGGGACCCTTCTATAAATCTTCAGGGTTCTCTCATGTCATATCTTTATATACTCTGGTACTCTGTACTCCAGATGCTTTAGTCCTCCTTGATTCTTTGTTCAATCTCCTTAACTCAGAGAGTCTTCTGAGCTTCTCCTCCCTGTGCTACACCTGAAAATGTCCTCAAAACAATAAGCTGAGCTGTTACAGGACTCATCTTGTTTTTTCGTCATCTCTCAAGGATCTCTGTGCTTGGCTGCCTAAAAAAAAAAAAAATTGCTTTGTTCATTTGTTTTTGTTAGTTTTTTTCTTGTTTCAAGCAGAAAAGCCAATCTAGTTCTGTTATTCCTAAAGAAGAATGATCTGTTCGTATATAATTTAAGATTGATTTACACAGAAGGCAAAAATTTTGAAGCAAGATGTTTACTGAGTAAATGGTAGTTTCATGCTATTAAGTAATTTTTTTAGTCTTTCAGAAAGTTATTTGCAACTTTTATCTCCCTGGGCAAAAGTTTCCTGAAACAATAAAGCTATGTTAATGAAGACAATTTAGTAGTAAAGTTGTGTTAAGGTAGATAGTAAGCTGTGGTGTGGGTATAGAGAAGCTTCTGTTTCTCTGTGTCCCACTTGTTGTCATCCTAAACTGAAGGATAGACTATTAACAATGTCTAAGAGTATAATTGATCCATATCTTCACCACTATTTGAGGTGTTTAATTGCATATCAAGTCCTGGGCATGGTTGTATAAACTTCCATGAAATGGAAGGGATAACGTTATAATCACTTTTTTAACATATTTTTCCTGCTAATTCTAACATCTGGTTTTCCTGATCTTTTTGCTGGATGATTATTTGTTGGATTATTTTAAGGGCAGTGGCTACACAACAACATTTAAGTCTCTGGAGATCACACATCTGCACTCCGCAGGACAGACCAACACTAAGAGAAGGGTTGTGATGAGATTTGTAGTCTGCTTCTCAGCAAGGAGCTAAGAGTGACTTAAGTAAAGGAAGAGAGGAGATCCCATTCTCCATCTGAAGAGCTGGCAAAACCAAATACAGGGTTATTAACAAAATTAAGTAATGTTATGATTGATGTGTTTATTTTCCACACATGTTCTTAATATTAAAGATTCCAGCAAGGTCTTCACCATATAAGTACAACATTCTTATTCTCTGACCTATTTCATTAACTTCCTCATAAAGCCTTTCTAGATCCTCGAGGGACTATGACCAATATCTTAAGTAACAGGGAATTCCATTTTACTGGGAATGGTTGCTAGTCTCTAAACCATGGCATGAAAGACTTTCCTTAATTTCTGGGTCTCTTGTAAAACATAAAGTTAAGACGAAAAGAGAAAATTTATTAGTTTTTATTCTTAAATCAAGGTCCAGTTTTTCTCCTTATCAAATGATCTACTCTCCCAGAAGAGAAATGAATGGATCAAAATGAATATTCAGTTCTCATCAACTATTCTGATGACAAGCACCAGTTTACCAAAGTAGCAAGTTCCAATCCAGTTTCTGTTTAATAGTCAGCATGTTTTGTGCCATAAATCCAATACCAGTCAATGGGGGGAATGATATATTTTTGGCAAAAACATTCTACAGGATTGTTAAATAGTGTTGGGATGTTTTAGTGCCGCTTAATAACAGTTCACTGCTAGGCAATAAATTTTTTAGTATCTAAATGAGTAGGTAATTCTAAAGCAAACTAAAAGTGATGTGTCTTACTTGTAAGATTCGTAAAAGGGATACCCACCTTGTACTCCTTAATTCTCTTCTGTATTATATTTCTGTGAGAATTCGGTTACCAAAGCTAGCTCCCATGAAAGATCCCCAAGTATTGTTCTGGTGGTGACATGAACTTCCTTTTCCAGTACGAGAAGATAAGGTTTGTTTAGATTTCTAGTTTTTGTTGTGTTTGACAACTAAAATAAAATCTCCTAATGGTTGAGTCCAGTTATTTCATTAATTAGTGAGACCCATAAGATCAACTGATTAATTACAAGAAGCTGGAACTAAGGGAAACTGAATAGCTCCAAAGAAAAATGCATAAAAATCCAACAGTCAGTTTAGTTGTACGCTTTAGCCAGCTCACAAGTAAATTGTAGCCAGATGTGGTACCCATACAAAGGAGTAAATAAGAATGCAAGGAACAATGTTAAGAACTGGGTCTTATGTGTAACATAGGTTACACATAACTAACAAAAGAAGACCATAGCTACAAGAATAAAGAATGAAAGAATGCAAATTGAAGCATGAATATCTGTAGTCCCATTCTGTGGACCTCAGGTACAAGCTGTCCACATCTCATGTAGTCATTAACTTAGTTCAAAGTTCTTAGGTAGAAGCTGTCTCTTTCTGAAGATTATCTGCTTCTGGGGGGTTCTAAGAAGCTTCGACTTGAGATCTTTAATAAAGAAAGTCTTCTAGTGAGTTGAAGACAGTTTTTTGCTCTATAATTGAAAAACATGAATCCAATAATTGACCTCTTGGAATTTTACTACTGTGATAGTTGTTAATAGCCTTTGATAATATCCTTTCCATTGGGACTTGGAAGCTGTCTTTCTCTGGTGTCTCTTTCAGAAGAGCAGGTATTTAAGTTCTAAGTAACATAAAGATTGTTTAGAAGGACGTTGAGAAAATGCTGTTTGCACTTATTGATACAATGGGACATACTGCAAAAGTTCCAGCAATATTTGACCATGTCTATCTGCAATTGTGTGGTGTCTAGGATTGGAAGTGGTATCACAGATATATGAGCCTACCTGTCACGAATCCATGTAGAATCAATGAGTCCTAGAAACAGTTGACCTTGTCACTAAAGCCAATGGTAATACCTTGGGTCCTACAATTTCTAGAATCCCTGAAAATTTTGTACTTTGAGTTTTAGAATTTTTCTTGTTCTTTCTTCCTTTCCTGGAGATTGGAAATGATGTAGACAGTAAAGTTTCTGAGTAAGGGCCTTGGCTTTGAGAAGCTCTTTGGTACCAGTCCCAATAAAGTGGAGTCCCTTGTTACTTAAGAGATTGGTCATAATCTCCAAGATTAGGAACACAAAATCAAGTAATTTTTTGCTATTATGAGAGTTGTAGCATTTCAGCAAAGAAAGGCATCAGTCCATCTTAAAAATATGCAGACAATTTTCAAGACATATCCAAAACCCAATGAAGAGGGTAGTTAAATGAAATCCACTTGGAGATAAGCAAACGGGTGCTGAGGGTTGGGCTCTTGCCCATGTTCCACCTTCACCCACTTTTACCATTTTAACAGTGTTCTGCTGGTCAGATGGAGACATGCAGCACAGACCCCCATGCACACACAACCTTAACAATTTTAGCAAAATTTCCCCATTGATGTTGACTGTGTTGGCCATTTTTCCTTCCTGCAGTGAGTAATTTTTTGCAAAAAATTTTCTAAGCATCCATTTGAGGTTTTTTGTTTTTTGTTTGTACTTTGGAGCTAATCTCTTGCATTCTATAATAATGTCTTTGAACCTTTCCAAAGATTTAGTCTCTTGGTGTACTATGAAGGTTAGGATCTCAATGGGGGGCTGCTTGTCTGCCATAATATAGTCAGCCCTTTGTATCCATGGGTTCTTTCTCTGGAGATTCAGCCAACTGGGGATGAATATATCAAGGAAAAGACACAAATGGTTGCATCTGTACTGAACATGTACAGACTTTTTTTCCTGTGATTATTCCCTAAACAATACAGCATAACACCTATTTATATGGCATTGACATTATATTAGGGTATTATAAGTAATCTAAAGATGACTTAAAGGATATGACAGGGTGAGCAGAGGTTATATTCATGTTACACCATTTTATTTAAGGGACTTGAGTAGCTATGGATGTGGGTACTCATGGGGGTTCTGGAACCAATCCCCCACCATCAGCCTTGAGCCTCCAGACTATTCCATTTTGTATGAACTTGATCTTCGTTTATAGTAGCCTTAGAGCACTCAAACATTCTGTTTGTTTGTTTTAGACAAAGTCTCGCTCTGTCCCAGGCTGCAGTGCAGTGGCAGGATCTCGGCTCACTGCAACCTTGGCCTCCCGGATTCAAGCTATTCTCCTACCTCAGCCTCCTGAGTAGCTGGGATTACAGGCGGGCGCCACCAAGCCTGGCTAATTTTTGTATTTTTAGTAGAGACCGGGTTTCACCATGTTGGCCAGGCTGGTCTCGAACTGCTGACCTCGTGATCTGCCCACCTCAGCCTCCCAAAGTGCTGGGATTATAGGCGTGAGCCACCAGGCCCAGCCTCAAACATTCTTTAATTTGCTGAACATTCTTAATTGGGGCTCCTACTGAAGTCAAAAGCTCTCTTTGTTTCCAAAGCATTCCAAGACCAAGGACTTCCCTAAAAGCATAACTACTACTAGTGTACATATTAACTGTTTTTTATCTCTTCCTCCAGTCTGGGTAGATTTTGGCTCTGGTAAGGCATTTTTTTGCCCGGGATGAAATGAGATTTGTTTCAGTTTAACTTACCTAATATTGTCCTGTTTCAGTCTTAATCCATGACCCATCAACAATCAGTTTGCATTTTTTAAAGGGGCTTCTAGTAAATTTATTAGGAATATGGATAGTTCACAAGCAGAGGTTGGGGTTTCCCCTTTTTCGAGGAAATGGAAGAAGAGTAGTAGAATTTAACAGATTCGTGAATATTAAGTATATGAGGGGTAAAGTCATAGGATGTCATGGGAGGTAAGCCTACTTGCTAAGAAATGTTGTGAGTTTTTAATGAGCAACAAAGATTCTGCAACATGATTGACCAAAAAAATCACAGGACACCCCAACATCAAGTCAGCAAAGCCTCCACTAGCTTAGCTACTGCGGCTGTTGCTCATTGACTATATGCACAGGTTTTTGCCACTGAGTCATAACAGCTCTTGGTCTTGATGATTTCCCAGGCTGAGTCAGAGCACAAAGGGCTTGTCTCTTACATAAAAAATATGCAGAGAGGATTAGGTGAGCAGGGTGGGAGTTGTTAAACGGCTAACTTGAACTCACAGAAAGAAAACTTGTTCATGTCTAGGCTTCTGGGAAGGATGTCTGGTCACCAAGAATTTGGTTAAGTCATAGAGTGGTGTGACAATTGCAGAAAAGTTAGGAACCCACTGTCTGCAGTAACAAGTGAGACCCAGAAACTTCTTCATTGTCTCTTAGTTACTAGCCTGGGCAAATTTTGAAGGCTCTGTAGTCTGTGCTAAGTAAGAGATTTATCTGCTTCGGATAAAGCATGCCCTAGATAATGAAGTTTGCTGTGACAAAATTGTAGCTTCTCTTTGGAAACCTGCTGCTCCTTCTGAACTAAAACAGTAAGTAGAGATGCAATCTGTCTTAAAGCTTACCTCATCTTTTGAACACAACAAAAGGTCACCTACATATTGGATAACAATAGAATCACAGGGAAATTTAGAGTCCTTGAGGTCACAGTGAAGGAAAAGTAAGCAATGCCTTAGTAATCCTTGGAGCATAACAAACTAAAGATTCCACTAATTTTCCCAGGAGAAAGCAAATATTTGCTATGTTGATATAAAGGAACATGAAAGAAAGCAAAACATAATACACAAATATAAAATATGCATTCTCAGGAGGCACCAAAGACAGAATTAGCATTTGAGTTTTGTTCTACAGGGAAGGAGGGACCGACTATTCTATTTATGGTCCTGAGGTCCTAAACAAATCTGCATCCCTGCCCAGTATTGTTATGTCTTGGTTTGTTTGTATTTGGTTTTGTTTCTGTTTGTTGTTGCTTGTATTGTTTTACTAGGAAGATAGGGGTGTTATGAGAATTGGTACAAGGTATAATGAGTTTTTTTTCTATTAGACCTTGACGATTAGCCTTGATCCTTCTTCAACTTCTGGTTTAAATGGGAATTGTACACGTTTGAGTAGAGAATCATTTCGCTTTTTTCCTTTAGTTTCTTAGCTCTTACACGGCACTTTTTCTTTCAGTGCTCTGTTTACAGCACCCACAAGTGTCTTTAACAAGAGTCTTATCAACTCAACCTTTTTTAAAAATTGAGATATAATTCATATAACTATTTAAGTGTACAAATTGTCATTTTTAATATATTCACTATGCTGTGTGACCACACTACTATCTAATTCTACATTTCCATCACTCCAGAAAGAAACCCCTGACTTATTTGCAGTTCGTTCCAATTCCCGTTTTCACCCCCATCCCCTGGCAACCATTAATCTATTTCTGTCTCTATGGATTTCCATGTTCTGGATATATCCTATACAGTCACGCATTGCTTAACAATGGGAATATGTTATGAGGAACATGTTGTTAGGCAGTTTTGTTGCTGTGCAAACATCATAGAGTGCACTTACACAACCCAGATAGTGCAGCCTACTATACACCTAGGCTACATGGTACAGCCTATTGCTCCTAGGCTACAAACCTGTGCAGCATGTTACTGTACTGAATACTGTAAACCATTGTAACACAGTGGTATCTATATATCTAACCACAGTAAATGTAAAGAAAAATACAGTGTCATAATCTTATGGGACCACCGTTATACACTCAGCCTGTTGTTGACCAAAATGTCGTTATGCAGCGCATGACTGTAAATGGATTCATAAAATACGTGGTCATTTGTGCCTGGCTTTGTTCATGCACCTTAATGTTTTCAGGGTTCAAGCACGTCTCAGCATGCATCAGAACTCCATTTCTTTTTATGGCTGGATAATATTCCATTGTAGGGATAAATGGATAAACCACATTTTGTTTATCCATTCATCAGCTGATGGGCCTTCGGGCTGTTACTGCATTTTTGCTATTTTGAATAATGCTGCTATAAACATTTGTGTACAAGTTTTTGTGTGGACATGTTTTTAAATCTCTTGGATATATCTAGGAGTGAAATTTCTGGGTCATATGGTAATTCTGTTTAACTTTTTGAGGAACTGACAAACTTTTCCACAATGGCTGAACTGTTTTACGTTCCCACATAAATGGAAGAAGGTTTCCATTTCTCTACATGCTTACCAGCACTTGTTATTATCTGATTATTATTATTATTACTATTGTTATTGGCAACTAAGTAGGTGTGACATGGTGTGTCACTGCAATTTTCATGAGCTCTTTTCATGAGCTTTTTGGCCATTTATATATCATGTTTGGAGAAATATCTACTCAAATCTTTTGCCCACTTTTAATTGGGTTATGTCTTTTTATACTTTAAATGTAAGGATTCTTTGTAAGTTCTGTATACTAGATCCTGAATACTGAATAATATAACTACAATAATTTTCTTAGTCTGTGAGTTGTCTTTTCACCTTCTTTTTCATCAAATTCACCAAAAAAAGACACCCATGATCTATAAGTCTTTTCCCCATGATGCAAGTTTGCTTCAGTCTTCAGAAATTCTAGAAGCTAAGTTCTTTTAAAAAGTAGTATTATAATATTTATTAGTCAAAGCAACAATAAGTTTTCATGTGAAATGTCTATTGTCTCCTAAGCACTGGAGTTAAATGGAGGGTGAAAAGCGGTGAGGACTTATAATAAATAATAATTTTGCATACTGAACAAATAGAAGGCATATTATTAGCCAATATAACTATAACAAACATAACAGACTCTTATAGTTCAGTTCATTAAATAGCCCTATGAGAGACTGAAGGAGTCTATTAACTTCCCCTAATGCTAAATGAAAATTTCAAGATACATTTATTTTTGTGTCTAATGAACAACAACATGAAACCAGCCAAGCCCTACATGAGGCACTAAATTTTGTCCCATAGTTGGTCTGAAATAAGGACAACCAAAGCCTACAAATTAGGTTTAAAGGCCCAACTCAGAGATCAGAAATGTAGGGCCCTTGGGCATTGGCAGAATGATGTGGACATTTGCCCCTGACAGAGTAAGTGCACCTCATTTTACATAGTAGCTTTGTTCCCCAAAAGTCATATGTAAATCATGCTGTTCTCAATCAAACCTGCTTCACATGTGCCAGAAATTTTGCTATTTAAAGATATATTACAGTAAATCTTTTTAAAGACAAAGAACCCTTTGTGAATAATAATTGCTCTCCAGTTAATCTGTATTGTAAATGTGGATTTTTCAAGTAACCCATTTTCTTAAAATAGGGCGCAGCCTGCAATGAAATGACAGCTGAACAATACAGATTATTCTGCAAAGATGAAAAACAAGGGATCAGCATGTACTAGGGTGTAGCTTCGGTTTCTTCATTTTGAGGAATGTGTTGTGTCTGGAAAGGATCCAGAGATGCGCAGCTACAACGGCTAAGTGAGTGGAAACTAAGACCCTTGAGAAAATGCTGGAGGATTTAAGCTTATTTAACTTGGAACAGAGAAAGCTAAGACCCAAGCTGCTCGCTGTCTTCAGAAATACACAATGAAGGGAGAATATCTTACAGTGAAATAGGAAGTAAACAAAGAGAATATAAATCATGATTATGGCTACATAAGAACAAGCATAAATATGAGCAAAGAATGCAAAGAAAATGCAATGATGAAAACAGTAGATACATTGGTGAAATTGTGGATAAAATTGTTTCTGCTTAAAACTTTCTTTAACGTTATTATAATACTATAATGGCAGCTATAAATTATAATGATATGTTATCATATAATAAGATTTTTATATATATATATAATGTTACATATAATGTATAAAATTTAGAGGGAAGTCAGCTTAAGTAAATACTCATAGGCAGCCATGGACAAGGTAATTAGCAGGAAAGGAGAAAGACCTTCTCCACTCCTTCCCAAATCATCTCCCTTCCCGACCCTTCTACTCCACCGCTTCCACCAATGTTGGCGTCAAGGATCCCAACATTTTCATTACTTCCCTGGTCTAGCTGGGGACATTTTGCACTTTCATTTACTGATTAATTCAGCAAAGATCAGTGGACCCCCTGCTCTATGCCAGACTCTGCTAACAACTAGAAATGCAATCAGACCAAAACGCACATTGTATCACCCCTGCCCTCACTGAACCTATGATATTTAAAGAGATGATTACAACAAAGGATGACAAGTGTGGAGACAGCAGCAGAAGAGGATGCAGACAGAGAAATGAGAAGGGGAACTGAGCCCATGTATGTGGGATTCAGCAAGGCCTTCTAAGGGAAACAACATGAAGGCCGGGTAAGAGGACGTGCTGAGAGCCCCCAGGACCTGTGGGAGAACTGTAGGAATCTTCAAGGAACTGAGACTGAAATAGTGACAACCAGTGATGAGCTTGGGCAGGTGAGAAACTGCCAGACTGTGCAGGAAACGCAAAGTCATCCTAATGAGTCTGACATTTATCCTAATCCTCTTGGAGGGTTTTAACCAGGAGAATGACATGCTGAGGGTCACCTTTCAGAAAGATGAATCCAGACGCCAAGTGGAGAATAGACTGGAGGACAGAAGTGCAGGGTGAGGAGGTAACTCCAGCCAATGCAGCAAAGATGATCTCAGCAGTGGGACTGGACAGAAAACTGGACAGAAACAGGCAGATTTCAGAGTAACCAGGAGGTAGGCAACTGCATTTGGAGCATGGTTGACTGGGGAGAAGAGGGCAGGGACTCTGGAATGCCATATATTTTTATGAAATAAGCAAAGAGAATCGGAGAGGATGGTATCGGTGGTCCTGAAGTTCAGGAAAAGCCCACAACAACAAGTTTCTGGGTGGCAGGTGAGCGCAGGAAGGAAGTACACTTTGAGATCCTGGGCCACCAAGTGTGAGTTTAGTAAGGGATAGGTATGGATGGGGCATTGTGGGAGCAAGCAGAAGAAACTGAATTCAAGCATCACCTCCACAAGGAACTCCAGACCCATACTCGGGACTACTCCAAGGGAACTCTTGCTTTTTCAGGCCGCACCAACCTCGAGAAGGAAAAACAAGGGACCCAAGAGCAAGAGCCATCGCCGTTCTGGGTTCACAGCCACCAAGGATGGACTTATAGGTAGAGTGGCTCTTCCTCTATCAAAGCCCACACATTCCCTCCAGTGATAATCAAAATGTCCCCACTGCATCCTGCAGAGCCACTTGTCATTTTATGAGCACCTGTGTAGCCAATGCCTACTCTGTGCAAGGGCCTGCAGATACAAAGATAAGTACGGCATAGTCCCTGTCCTTAAGGAGTCCCCCGTCTAGAGAGAGTCCAGGCAAGGAGAGCAACAACCATGACAATGTGCAGAGTCCTGAGGTCAACACAGCACAAAGGCCATGGGCGCATGGGGCACAGGATCAGAAGGTCCCAGGCACTAAAATGCCCAAGCTAGGTCTTCAAGGTCAGTTTTGACAGTAGCTACATAAAGAAAAGGGAGGAAGAGTTCCTGGGCAAAAGATGCAGACTGTGCATGAAAGAGAGACTGGAATGACCACGGAGCTGGGAAGTCGTCCCCTCGGCTAGAAGTTGGAGCATGAAGGAGCAGGGAGAGTTAGCAGATGAGATTGGAGACTGGAGCCAAGGGCAGGGTGTGCAGTCCTGGGATTGCACACTCCGTTGTTAGAACTCTCTTCTATGTTAAGGAGAAACTGAAGGAGTTTTCCAGAAAGAAATAATCGGTTCAGGTGTGCATCGTTCAGGTGTGCTGACACTTCGTCTACAGAGGGTCAGACACAAAGACACTGGTCACCATTATGGCATGTTTTTTAAATATGATAGAGGCTTTTTTAAATCTGGGAATGGTCAAGAGATATTATGAAATAGCTATTCCTAGACTTTTATTTTGTAACTACGGTCAGTGGGTAATGTGCGCACCTGCTTCAGAATTCTAAAAGTACAAGGTTGGAGTCAATGGAAAATAATCCTCCCTTCCCTGCCTAGACCACCCCCACCCCACAGTTTCTTCAAGTTTCTTATGAAGCACTTCAAATAGATATTCTCTCTGTCTCTGTCTCTCTCTCTCTTTCTCTCCCTCTTTCCCTACCCCCACCCCTCCAGAAACAAATATTTTCTTACACAGATGGTAACACACTAATCATACTGCTTTGTTGCCTTTTTCATATAATATTTCTTGGAGATCATTCGCCATCAGTACATACAGAGCTGCTTCATTCTTTTTAGCAGATGCTTAATTTTCTCTTCTGTGGATATATCATAATTTATTTAACCAGTTTCCTATTTTCCTATTGATGGACTTCTAGTCTAATGACACTCTTTTGCTACCATAAAAAAGTGCTGCAATAAATATCTTTGCACGTGTGTTGTTTTGCATAAGTATGAGAATGTGTGTGGGTAAATTCTTGGAACATGCAATTGTTGAACTCTCAGTTCCTAGAAAGGTATGCATAGTTTGTAATTTTGACAAAATGTTACCTACTTGTTCTCTATAAAGATTGAAAAATGTGTATTCACCAAAGCAATTAGTGCCTGTCTCTCTCTACATCATTGCAAAACTCTTGCAATACCGAACTTTTTGGGCATTGCAGTTTGTAGGTAAAAAATGTTATCTTAGATTTAATTTGACTATGTCTTACTATGAGGGAGGTTGGACATCTTTTCCTGTGGTGAAGAGCCACATGATCTTTTTCTCACTGTGATAGATCATACCTTTGGCCCATTTCCCAGTGCATCATTGGCAACTTTCTTACAGATTTATAGAAGCTCTTTATATGTTAAAGAAATTAAGCTGTTTGTGAAATAAGTTGCAATAATTTTTTCTTTTTCATTTTCCTTTAACTCCATTTGCTATACTTTTGCCATGCACCATTTTCTTTAGTTTTATGTAATTAAACTCATCAGTCCATTTTTTTCATTTCCCTGTCCCAATAATATTTTGTAAGGATTATCCTATATTTTCTTCCAATAATTCTTATAATTTTATTATTACACATTTAGTTTTTTAATTAGGAACTTGTTTGATATAAAACGGGAAATCTAATTTCTTCCAGATATTGGGACACAATTCCTTCAACATTTCCCCCTGATTTTACTGGATATCAACATTTTCCTCCTCATTTGAAATCCCACCTTTATAATGTACAAAATGTATCTGGGCTTATTTTTGTTTCATTTATCTGTTTATAATGTGGATCACATTATTTTAAATTTATGGAACATTCCAGCTCTTTATTTTCCTATTTCAAAATGTCATGGCTAAAATTTGTGCGTTTATTTTTCCACAGAAACCTTAAAATCAGCTTATCTGGCTCCAAAAGAAAATACTCATCAGTAATTTTATTGAAATCTCATTAAGTTTATAGATTGACCTAGAGAGAATTAGAGCTTTATGATAATAAGTCTTCCTATCTAAAACAGAGTAAACTTTAATTTGTACAAAACTGATTTTGTGTCTTTTCGTACAGTTTAAGGGATCCTTCACATAGGTATGCAAGTCTTTTAAAATTATACCTTTGCATTTCATCTTTGTGTTCACTATTGTGAGGCCTCTTCTTCCACTCTATCTCTATCTCTAGCTGGTTTTGTTTATAAACATAGAGACTGCTGATCCCTGCATATTTTTAGTTTTGTATTCAGCACCTCACCTGTACTTTTCCTGTTGGTTCTTGTGGATGTTTAGTAAACAATCATATCATCTGCAAATAAAAATTTTATCTCTCTTTTCCAACTTCTACATCTCTTAGCATGCTCTCTCTCTTTCTCTCTCTCCCCCTCCCTCTCTCCCTCATCATATAATCTTGGCTAGACCTTTGATACAACGCTAAATAATGGTGATGATAGGTGGATGGATATACTTTTCTATTGTGCCTTACTTTAATAGAAATATATCCGGTATTTTCCTTACAAGCATTGGGATAAGATAGATGAGTTGAGACATACGTTTATCCCTTTATTCCTCCTATAATTAGGAATGTACATGGAATATTGGCACTTTTGGAAATCATCTTACCATTTTTCTCTTTTAATCTATTAAAGTCATAAATTATATTAGTTTTCCTAATTAAACCATCCCTGAATTTCTGAAATAAACTCCATTTTATGTATCTTATTCTTTAATGGTGCCACTGAATTTTGTTGCTAATATTTTATATAAGATTATTGTATTTGTACTTTTCTGCTGGTATACTATTTTGGTCAAGGTTAGCAAAATAATGGTAAATTCATAAAAAATATTTTAGAAACCATGCCCTTTCCCCTTCTATATGTCCTAGAGAGATATATCTATATCCAGATATACATACATATCAAACACTATCAAACACTACATATATATCAAACACTGGATACATACATATATAGCGAGATATACATATATATATATATATCTCTGGAGGGAAAGAGCACGGTTTCTAAAATATTTTTTATGAATTTACCATTATTTTGCTAACCTTGACTAAAATAGCATATCAGCAGAAAACTACAGATACAATAATACATACATACACACAGACACACATATATATATATACACACACACACATATATATTATATATATTTTTCAGAGTCTCGCTCTGTCGCCCAGGCTGGAGTGCAATGGCGTGATCTCGGCACACTTATATGTTCCAGAATATTTTAATCATGTTGGAATCATGTATTCCTTAAGTGTTTGATAGAATTTCCCTATGAAATAATCAGGGCCTGATTCTTTTTCTGAAAGGTAGCTTTTGATAGCTTTCCATATTTCACCTACAATAACTCAACTCATTAAAAGTTTCCTTTTTATTTGGGGTGAATATTAGTAAATTGTTCTGTTTTAGGGTTTCGAAATATTTGTACAGAACCAAAACGAGTAATTTGTTACAATTCTTTCATTTCTTCCAACCTGTAATTATTACCTATTTATGCATTTGTATTCTCAATGTTTATCTTAACTTTGTCAACAGTTCATCTTTTTTATTTCCTTTTTTATATCAAGATCTAGCTTTTAAATGTATTACTGCTATCAGATTTTGCTTTTAATGCAGTATCTGTTCTTATCTTTACTAATTTGTCTCCTCCTTTCTTTATTTTAATAGTTTTTTTACTTCGAGTTGGATTCATCATTGACCTCTTTTCATCTCCCTTTGACATTAACGCATGTATTTAAAACTATTACTATTACTCAAGTCTGCAATCTTTTGTTCCCAAGTTTCTCTGAAGAATTTCTTATTCTTATTTTTCAGATATCCACCAGTTTCAGTTTTTATTTTCTCTTTCACTCAATAGTACCTTACAAGAGATATACTTTGTTATTATCATTATTGGTTTTATTACTGTTTTATTCTTCCTTTATGAGAGTTAGGGATTTCTTGTTTTTAATTTCTAGTTTCAGTGTGATCAAAGAATACTGCATACTATTTCTACTCTGGAAATTAGTATGATTTCTTTGGTGAATTTTTGTGACTATTTTATTGATACTTGAAAATAAATATATATTCTGTTTTAAGGGTACAGTATTGACATCTCAATTAGATATGCCTTATTAAATATGGGGTTTTCTAGTCTAGTGGATCTGTGATGCATTAAGAAAAATAATCAAAGTTTTCCTTTACTCATTAATGTGTCTATTTCTCCTTGTATTTCTGTTTACATGTATATATAAAACATTTGTTTTTGCTTTTAATATTGATGCTGTGTTACTTGGTAGACAGACCTTTTGTGATATCTTCATTGCTGATTGTATTCTTTGCTATTTTAAGTGCCCATATTTGTCTAAGTGTTCCATACTCTCTGCCTTAAAGCCTGATATAAAATGAGGACCTTTGGATTTACTTTTGTTTGCATTTGCTAGGAATTTACTTATTCTTTTGTTTTAAACCTTTCTGATTTTCCTCACGTTTGCCCTGCTCTTGAAGGCCTCCTTCTGTCTATGCAGTTACTGAGAAGCCGCCTGGAGCCATTGGGAATGTTTTATTCTTAGATCATTTTGCTTGGGTTCCCAAGGAATTATGCCTTTTTTTTAAGTCCACGGCCTCCTAAGGTATCTCCAGTATGTCAATTTGCATCAGTTTCTCCTGGAATTCCATTTGGCCCTAATTTAATTATTTCTTGAAATGTTTGTTCTATTCTAATTTTTGGTTTCCTCCTTCAGGGACATGAATCACTCATGTGTTGAAGATCATCTGTCTTCCAAGTATGTTATTCTTTTTTTTTTTTTTTTTTGAGACTGAGTCTCACTCTGTCTCCAGGCTGGAGTGCAGTGGCACAATCTCTGCTCACTGCAACTTCTGCCTCCCGGGTTCAAGCGATTCTCCTGCCTCAGCCTCCTGAGTAGCTGGGACTATAGGCGTGCACCACCACGCCCAGCTAATTTTTGTATTTTTAGTACAGACAGGATTTCACCATGTTGGCCAGGATGGTCTCGATCTCTTGACCTCCAGATCCGCCCACCTCGGCCTCCCAAAGTGCTGGGATTACAGGCCTGAGCCACCTCGCCCAGACCCAGGTATGTTATTCTTTATCTGATCTTTAGTTGAACTCTTTATTCATATCTATTTTGTTTTGCTGTCGTTTCTGATCCTACCCTTCTCTCCGATTCTGTTTCCAACACGGCAGATGGTCCTTTGTGCTGCCTCCCATTGAACACTCAACCACTGCGGCAGAGTTTCCTTTCTCTCTTCACCTCCTTCCTGAAGCCCACCCAGGCCAGGCTCCCCTCCCTTCCCACCCTGCGTCTCGCCTCACTGCTCAGGTCTCTGCTTCCTGCTCCAGTGTTGTAAAAGTTATTGCTTAGATTATTTCATTCCTGTCTTTGTTTTTATTTTTAAATCCACTTGCATTTTTTGGTCATAACTTTAATCTGCTTCATAATAATACTGTATTTTTTATCTGCCATTCATTTTGCCATTTCCTCTGATCCTTTCTTCTTACAATAGCTTTTTGTGTAGGAATGTGTCTTGTTGGAATTCATTGATTTCACCCACCTGCTGCTGCCCTGGTTCCTTGTGGAGCGTCACCAGGCAGTGTCTGTGCAGGCCTCTGAATGGTGCATCATGAGTTATTTTAGCTTAGGGTTCCCGCCACACCACTGAGATCTACTGCAAACCACTTCCTGAAAATACAGCCAGCCTCTGACTGCTCCTTCATCCCCATCCGCCTTGACTTCCCTTTAAGCAAAGGACTTTGGAGAAGCTCCCTTTTCCCTGAGACAGGACTGTTGGATTCTCCTCTCCCACTGGCACTTACCCCGCCCTGGAGCACCGTGCTGTGGGCATTCAGCACTCACAATGTCCCCGCCCACACATTCCTGAATGCAGGTTTGACTTCCCATGCACTCCTTTACTTACTGAGCTTACTTACTTACAGGTTACTCTTATCTCAGTTTCTCCAAAGCTGGGGTGCGTGGGGGGTGTTTTCCTTGATCTCCTTCTTGCTTGTATATGATTTCTTTTTATTTTTTTTCTTTTTTTGAGACAGAGTCTCGCTCTGTTGCCCAGGCTGGAGTGCAGTGGTGCTATCTTGGCTCACTGTAACCTCTGCCTCCCGGGTTCAAGTGATTCTCCTTCCTCAGCCTCCCGAGTAGCTCGGATTTCAGGCGTGCACCACCACACCCAGCTAATTTTTGTATTTTCAGTAGAGACGGGGTTTCTCCATGTTGGTCAGGCTGGTCTCAAACTCCTGACCTCAGGTGATCCACCTGCCTCAGCCTCCCAAAGTGCTGGGATTACAGGCATGAGCCACTGTGCCCGGCCACTTGTACACGATTTCTCAAAGAAGAGGAGGCAACACCTTCTTTACACCATCCCCTGAATTGGGGAAGTCACCTTATCCTCCTCATAGGTCTTTTGGAAAATCATTATCTAACATAGATAACTATTCTTTCATTCGACCAATACATGGTTAGAGCTTGCTGAATATTCACTGCTGTACTAAGTGCTATGGATATTGCCTGACGAAGTGGGAGGCTAGAAGATTTGACATTATGGATTTGTTTATTTATTTATTTATGTTTTTTTTTTTTTTTTTTTTTGAGACGGAGTCTCACTCTGTTGCCCAGACTGGAGTGCAGTGGCACGATCCCTGCTCACTGCAATTTCTGCCTCCTGGACTCAAGCAATTCTCCTGCCTCAGCCTCCTGAGTAGCTGGGACTACAGGAGTGCGCCACCACTCCTGGCTAATTTTTGTATTTTTAGTAGAGACAGGGTTTCACCATGTTGGCCAGGCTGGTCTCGAACTCCTGATCTCAGATGATCCACCTGCCTCAGCCTCCCAAAGTGCTAGGATTACAGGTGTGAGCCACCGTGCCCAACCTGGATTTATTTTAAAAGAAACAATATGAAAGCTATGCTTGTGGCACCTCAGATGGGAGTAGAGGACTATTTAGGGGGGCTGCTTTTAGCTGGTAAAGGCCCAAATGCCAAGAGACATTTAGATTGGGGTCCAGAGTTATGACCCCATAGACATCGGCAGCTGAATTTTAACAAATCCACAGATGATCAAAATTCTGTCCTGGAGCCAGCAATTTACTCTGGTTGGAAATGTAAGCCCCAGGCAGCAGCTGTTTTTGACCCTCACCCTGGCATGGAGTCTTTCTCACAAATGGCCCTCACAGCTGGGAGTTTCAAACAGTCTATTCTTTCAAAGCAGTTGTTCCCTAAAGCATTTGTCCTGTCTGCCCAGGATTTTCCAGAGCCCGGGACCAACGTTACTGGAGTCAGCCTGTTGTTCCACACCGAAGCACAGGCCAGCTGCCCACCCAGGGCTGGCAGTGAATCTGAGGCCGAGCCCAAATGGTATCAACTTACTTGCAGCTGTCCTTACCAGAAGCCCAATAGGCCCTCAGCATAATTCCCCTACGTGTTTAAAAAAAAAAAATCTTTCTATGCTGTGGTGAGAAGACTCATAGACTCTGCTTTCTTCTGCACAGCTCTGACAGCAGGGAGGTAAACTCGATGTCCAAAGAGATGATGCAAAATTGATTTCTCATTAAAGTAGAAATTTTAAACTTAAACAGGGAAATATCATCCTTTTACAAAATACTGCTTATTTAGGGATCTGGATAACTTGCATGTATCAAGAATTCTCCTACATTGGTATTTCCACAGTGGGGACAGTGGTTGAATCGCTAGAAGTTACAAATATTCCTCTTTCAAAAGCAAAGAAACAGGGTGATTGATTACCTCAGGTGGGAAAAGAGCAACACAAGGCTATTATGCAAGTGTTTTTGGTCAATCAGCTGTTTCAACACAAAGGGAGAGAGAAGTTCTTGATTAGGTGAGCCCTGATAATTAAGGGTGACCTTCACTGAGGGAAATTTATTCAATTTATCAATAGTTAATAATGAAAAGTCATCTCACCTGAAAAGGATGCATCATAAGCAAAATGGGGCTCTTCAAGGAACTTGTCTAAATAGGAAATACTATTTTCACTTAAGTTTAATTTGATGACAACCATATAATAATATACTTTTTTTGTTTAATATTCATGCATGTGGGTTTTTTGCAGACTCTTAGAAGATTATTTTCTGAGTATTAGCTTCTCAATCTCAAACTTCTTAAAGGTTAAACCAATGGTGATGAAGACTCTCTCTGTCAAATCTCTTTCTCAGTTAAAAAGAAAAAAAAAAACATCCAAGGTGTTTAAGAGAGTCACTGAACTTCATGAATGCATTTAAAGCCAAAAAAAAAAAATCCATGCATGCAACAGAAAAGATTAGAGATTCTGAAGGCACTTAAAATTGTTTATAAAATTTACAGATAATCTGAGGAAAAGTATTCTTATCGAAGTCAACTCAGCTTAGGGTCCTAGTTTCCAAGACACATAAAGCACAAGCATAGATAAATGCAATGTGTCATTCTGAATGATTTGTTTTCTCTTTTCTTTTCAAGTAAACTGAAAACTTGCTGATACCTGCAGCCCAGCTTTCTTTTATTCCCACTGCATGCCCTAACACAAAACTACACATGCTCGTCTAGCGAGTGGATAACAGAAGAAAAATATTATCTACCTGGGCACTCATTATGATGATTAACAAGTGTAACTTCTTTACTCCTCACAACAATCCTCTAAGATGCATAACTGTGTCTGCATTTAACAAAGGGGAGTCATTTTTCCGAATTTGCCCTTCTGGTAGGTGAGCAAGCAGAAACGGCAGCAAACGGCTGAGGGGCTGCCACGTCTGTGCTCTTTTCACTTGCCACACCAACCCTGCCACAAATGTGAGGATGCAATTACAGTCACGTCAGCATGTGCCCCCATGATGAAATGACAGAGGCAGCGTGGTGCAGTGGTTAGGAGCAGCACTGTGGGGGCTGCCTGCCTGGGTCCAGATCTCACCACACTTCTTCCTCAGGCAATTTCATCAACTTCCCTGGGAATGCACTCTCCTCCTAACACGGGGATGGCAGTAGTATCATACCTGGCTCTGGAGTTGTTACGGGAATTAGAGCTGACGGAGAGACAGTGCTCAGCACTTAAGAAGGGGCAGCCTTTCTTTGTTTGACTTGGTTCTACTATCCCATCTTTTCTAGCGGCAACTTTGCTGAAACACATAAATTCTGTGACTTTCCAAGGTAAATTAAAAAAAAATAGCCCAATGTTTTATTGTTTTTTATTTGTGACTTGCTAGAATGTATTTTTTCCTGCTTGATATACTCAATCTCTACAATGAAGTCAAAAGAGAACTCATACAATCTGAATTTTCCCATCCACCAAGCTGTGTGGAATGATGAACTCTTAAAAGCAAAAGGCATTTTCAAATCACAGAAAAAAAAATAGCATTTTATTCCTGTTAAGGCAAAACAAACAATGGCAGCATTTTTCAAGACAGATTATGGAGAGATGATAGATGGTAGGTAAGTGAGATAGATGATAGACAGACAGGTAGATAGATAGATAGATCCAAGGTGTTTAAGAGAGTCACTGAACTTCATGAATGTATTTAAAGCCAAAACAAAAATACCCATGCATGCAACAGAAAAGATGAGAGATTCTGAAGGCACTTAAAATTGTTTATAAAATGTACAGATAATCTGAGGAATAGATAGACAGATATGTGATAGACAATAGATTTGAGTCACCAACATTTAAATGCAGATATGATACAGAAATAAAGCAATAGCATCTTTGAATCTAGAAGCATCACTAGATGTCATCGCACCTCTTTCCCATCCCACTTACCCCAATTTTACAGAAAGCGGAGCCTGTGGGAGGTTGAGTGACTGTCCCATTCACATGAATTGTTAGCAGCGACAAATGGGACCTGAAATCTATTCCCCTCACCAGCAATGCATTTGGCCACCACAAAACATCATTCTCTCTCTCCAATAAACCAAGGTCGTAAGGTAGCTGTCTTTATACCCTCTTCATTGCAATGCTTGAGACCCTACTTACTCCTAGATCCTCTTACTTTACAAAATCATCTCATTCTTCCCTATCATCTACCCTTCCGCCCACAGAACTAACTTTTAAAAATGTATCCCCCAGATGCCTCTCAGTAGCTGGTGACCCTTTGCTGGCCACACATTACTGTCACTCCAAATGGGGGACCCAGCTCACAGGGCAGGGTTTCCAGCTCCAGCTGATGGATGTTCCACTCCCGAAGTTTCTTGGAACAGAAGAGGACTAGATACCAGTGCTGGCGAGGCCCCCTCTCCTCATGCAACGTCCTGCCCTCCCTGCCTGGCCACGAATCTTCCCTGAACCATTTCTCACTCATCCTTGCCTTCAGAGTCCCAGTATTATTCTCCACACTCGTTTGCTTCCCAATATTTTACAGCAACTAGGGGACACCATAACATCATTCTGTGAAAGACTTTGAGAATTCTTGTCATGTTTCCACAGCGTCCTCTTTCAGCTTAACATGTTCTCCTTTGCTCCTCCTTTTTCTTTCCCTATATCATCTATAGGGGGATCTGCTAATCTCCCTTTCTTGGCAGGTTATCATTCCTACCCCCCTATCTAGCTTTATTTCTGATCTGTCACCAGCATGCAGCTGTAGCATTTAGTTCCAGGGACAGCTGACAGAGTAGCCAGTGACATGATCTTTACAGTAGCTTCTATTAACTCACCCTAATGGCTTAGTGGATTTAGCCAAACTACTTGAAAACTGGGTGTCACAAAAGCTTCTAAAAATATACTGATATAAACCTTCTGATAAAATACTATGCTGAGCATGTTTAAGCTTCCACATTTCAACATGGGGAGAAAATGGTCAGTATTTCTACCATTTGACTTGAAAGTTAATGAAAGAAACTTTTTAAATTCCCAAATAAGACCTCTCCCATATGACATGTTGAATTACAGAAACACAAAGTCCTTAGGCTGTGCTACAGGATCTACAGCCTTCTGCTTTCCAAACCGAAGGTTGGTCAGCTTTATCTGTGAAGGCCCAGACAGTAAACCTTGTGGGCTTTGGGGCCCTATGGTCTCTCATGCAGCCACCCCCCTGTACTGTTATGGGAGCGGCAGCCATAGATAATGTGCAAAGTGGGCCTGCCTGGTTTCAGATAAACTTTATTTACAAAAACAGGCAGTGGGCCTGACAGATTCCAGACCCCGGCTCTAAACCAATAGGATATTTCATCAGTGGGAGCCACAGCCTGAGTAGAGAGCTACAGTTATCTGCAAAACACTTTTCAGTAGGTACAAAGAACCTCTTTACCCACATATTCGGATGGAGTTTCAGTCTCAGGGATGAGCCCCTATTCAAGCTATCAGGGATCAAATTTTAAGAAAATATCAAAAGAGCGCAGTGGAGGGAAAGCGCCGCACAAACAACGGTGTCAACATCCTGCTGACCTTGGATTAGAGAAGAGCTCATGCGGAGGCTGCTGCTAACCTCCTGAAGGGGCAATTGATAAAGAGATGAAGATGTGGACACCAGCCCTCAACAGATAAAGATCCAAATAACTGAGGAACAAGGAAGAGGTAGCTAGAGGCCTGGGAACATTTACCTTACCTCTGTGGGGCTGCGTCTCCAGGTCACAGGACTTGGGAGAACTCTCCTCCCTCCTCCTCCTCCTCATCCTCATCATCAATATTCTTTAAAGTTACTCTTTGTTAAAACATTATGCTGTACACCTTACCAGCAGTACTTAATGAATCTTGACAACACCCGTGGGAGCTGGGGATGTCTAATGCTATTCTCGTCCTGCAGATGAGAAAGCTGAGACTCAGCCAGCTCAAAAACCTGACAGCAGTCACTTAATTAGAAAGTGGCAAAGCCCAGATTCAAATCCAGACCTCCACCAAAGTCCATTCTTCTCATTTAAAAAACTAAAACGTTGCTCCTTTACTTTGCAATTAGGCATATGAATGCTGTTCAAGGATGCTCATGAGCAAACCCTATCACCATCTGGGCCCATTATGAGCATTTTATTGGTACTACAAATAGCTGTAGATGCAAAAGGACACCAGCAACTTCACCCTTGCCAATTCCCTCAGCAGAGGTGGAAGGTTAACAAGCTCACCCATTGTGCCCGGAGCTGATGCATTTAGTTAACAGCTGGGAGGACCTGCTGGCCTTACACTTTAATGCATATGTATAGCATCACCCTCACTAGCCTTGTACATTTTTTGTGTGTGGGATTTTTTTTCTCTCCACAAGGAGACTCTGGAAGAAACCAGCGGGAAGGCACACAGGCTCCAGCCTGGAACTGTCTTCTTGGAAATAGCCCTGGTACAAACCAGAATCTGTTCCTAAGGAGATCACAAAGGCTGCATTCTTCATAGACACCCAGAAATAAAATTCAATTTAAACAAAAAATGCAGAGAAGACTATCCCATCCATTACCTGGAGTTTACAATGAGCTAGGTTTCCTCAATCAAGCAAAATCAACTTAGGTGCCACTGATCTTCCTAGCAGCCATCAGCAGTTACAAATAGATAATGGTGGGAAGCAAACAAAAACACACCTTTGTTTGTCAGAAGACGCTTTTAGGCTGGGCGCGGTGGCTCAAGCCTGTAATCCCAGCACTTTGGGAGGCCAAAGCAGGCAGATTTCTTGAGGCCAGGAGTTCGAGACCAGCCTGGCCAACACGGCGAAACCCTATCTCTACAAAACAAAAAAAAATACAAAAATTAGCCGGGCGTGGTGGCATGCACCTGTAGTCCCAGCTACTTGGGAGGCTGAGGCACGAGAATCACTTGAGCCTGGGAGGCAGAGGTTGCAGTGAGCTGGGATAACGCCACTGCACTTCAGCCTGGGTGACAGAGGGAAACTCTGTCTCAAAAAAAAAAAAAAAAAAAAAAAGGAAGAAGGGGCTTTTATTCCAATGTGATGCCTCTTGGAGTTAGCAGGAGCCTGGCTACATTTCCCAGACAAATGAAGTCTCCTCCCACTTACCTGAGCACACTGGGTGTGGCTGTTTCAAACCTTGTTCTCTCAGTTTTCTCAGAGTCCAGAGTGACCCCTTCAGGACACGAGTAAGTCTGGCAGTGAGTTAAGAGAGTAAAGCTAACTAGAGATGGGAGTGTTACTTCTGGCATAAACCGTCTCTTCTCTACCTGACAGCTCAACATGCCCAAGGCACCACACCAAAAAGAGAGAAGTGCCACAAATAAGATGCTGTGGACGAGACAAGTAGAATATGTAAAACCAATTCAGTGAAACTGCAATAATGAAGCAATACAGTTGATCATTTTCATGTTCTCTCAGAAAAATGAACAGAACACACCTCACCTGTGTTGGTTATTGAGTGTAACCAACCTCACTGTATGCAAATTGGTCAACATGACCCAAATATACAATTTGCAGAGATTTGGCTATAAAAATTATTTTCAGAAAAAATTTAGATTTATAACTTGGAATATAAAGATCTGAAGGTAAAGAATTATTGAAGGTTTGGATTTACAGGCGGTAGTTTTGTAGTTTCTTAGTTTTAGAAGACTTTGCACTGAATTTCTGTTGTTAAATATCATAAAAAGAGTGTCCTGGTGGACCTAAGCTGTCATAGAGTTTTTGCATGCATTATGAATTTCAGCTTGAAATAACAAGTTCTAGACTCAATTAGATCTGTTTTTCAGTTTACCCTTTTATCGCGAGTACCTAGCACAGAGCCTGCCTCTAAGAGAAGTTTCATACATATTTCTAAAATAAGTGCATGAAAGGAAGGAAGGAAAGAAAGAGAGAGAGGAGAAGGAAAGCCTCAAGCTTGTCAGGTTGAAATTGTCATATGCTCAAACAAACATGTGTTAGTGTCTAACCGTATAGTATGTGACACATAAGGAAAACAATTCTTCTGTCAAAGCGTCACAAGAAAAGACAGGCAGGCATGTGTAGAAAGAATTCTTATATTGAAACTTCGTAACTGACGGCAGAAGTGCTCTGAGATGTCTTTCTCAGAGTATGCACCAATACCAGTACGTTTGGGAATCTGCTGCTCTTCTCCCAGGCCCAGCCTCCACCCGGCCTTCTCCACCCAATCCTCACCAACGTCCAGCTCTCCATGTAGAAGCCTCATGGCATTACAATCTGGTTCAGCCTCATTAGAAAAAGAAAAGAACATTGCAAAACAGGGTATCCACTAAAAATTCTCAAGAAAACCTACTTGAGCTTTCCTGAGTGGAGGCACTGGAGCCTTATTTTTGATCTGCCTTTCTATTATAGAAAATGTCAAACACATAAATCCCAACATACTGTGGTCAGGTTTCCGCCATGATCCATTCACAGATGAGCTTGCTTTGTCTAGAACGCCGCTCACTTTCTGTAACTTAGCATGCTGCTGTCATGAAGATGGCGCCCATTCTTCCAGTACCCACAGCGCTGCAGGGAACTTCCTGGTGCCCTTTCACTTGGACACTGGGCTCAGCCATGGGATGCACCTTGGCCAACAGGATGTTAGTAAATGTGACATTCAAGCAGAGACTTGCTTGAAAATTGCTCCCATGACCAGGCTGGCTCCTATTCAGCCATGAAAGCATGTCTGGGCTGGCCTGCTAAAGAAGAGACATGGGGTTGCCCTCGTTGTCCCTCCAAGACCATCCTAGATCAGTTGACAGCCAGCTGACACCTGTGTAAGCAATTCAGGCAGAAAGGAGAATTGCTCAGCCACATATAGCCAAGATCAATAGAGCCACCTAGCCAGACGGCCCAGAGTTGTGAACAATCAAGTCTTCCTGTCGTATGCCACTGACGTTTTATGGTTTTTATTATAGACAACCAGTGCAAGTCTGAATTTCAAAGACACTTTATCTTTTCTGATATAGCTGCAATGCCATTATCACATACTTAATAATTCCTTATTAGTGTTATATTGAAATTTGTCTTACTCATTATTTATCAAATAGTAATACATACTCAGTGTTCAAATTTCTAATTGCCTCCCAGGTGCTACAGAGTTTTTAGTAGTTCATTTGAATCAGGATGCAATGTGACCCACACATTGTGTTTGGTCAATATGTCTGTCTCCTGAGTGTCTGTGATGATAGACTCCCCTTCATGCACACACTCTTGCCCTCTATTCAACGCCTTTCTTCTGGAGACCTTTCACATGCTGGATTTTGTCTTTTGTGCTCTAATGGTAACTGCGACTTAGATAATTCTGCCCTCAGATTTTCCTATGCATGGAAGTTGGATCTAGAGGCTTAATCAAATTCCGGTTTGATTTTCTCAGGGGATGAGGGGGAAAGACTACTTCATGACTGGTGGCATTTTTCCCATCAGGAGGCATACCGTACCTGGTCGTCTCTCTTTACGCGATGCAGCAGCCATTGTTGATCAATTCCCAGGTCCGTTTATTCATTCATTCACTCAGGTTTGAAAACTGGCAAATAAACATCATTCCATGTTTATTTGTTAGATAGAATTAAAACTTCAATTAAAAAATTTTCTCCTCAACTGTAATTTGAGTACCCAGGGTTCAATTTTTTATAAAGAAGACAGAATTAAAGCTGGATTTTTTTATTTACTATTTCTTAAAATTAAATTTTAGTTTATAGCCAGTCATGGTGGCATGCCCCTGTAGTCCCAGTGACTTGGGAGGCTGAGACAGGAGGATCACTTGAGCCCAGGAGTTTGAGGCCAGCCTGGGCAACACAGTGAGATCCCATCTCAAAAAAAAAAAAATTAGGTTACTAGTTTCTTTCAGTGGTGAACAATTAATCGGTTTTTCTTTTTCTTATTTTTTTTTTTGCATCATTAGAAACTCATGGATATAAATATATTTAATGTGCAGTCTGCTGCAGATATTATTAGTACTGATACTCAAAATATCTAATCTTTAAATATAGTAGAAAGCTCCTCAAGGGAGTTCCTCAGTCCTACTGACAGCATTATAGTAGATTTTTATGATGATGGCTCATCTTGTATATTTCCTCCCCCAGACCCGGGATGAGCCTTTTTACCAAGGATCTCTGGTTCCTTTCAGAGGGAAATGGTATGTAGAGAATACAATATGAGCTCTAAAGGTGATTATTGTTCTTAGATTGGACATTGTTTCTAGGTCTTTTCAGTAAACAGATCCAGGAGGAAAGTAAGTTTTTAAAATATAAAATCCATCATGAGTTTATACTGATATTTGAAGTCCAAGATTTTTTCTTAACTTCCATTACATCTAAGTATCTTCCTTTTTTCACTACAAAATTTTTGTTCTCAGTGAATGGTAAAATATCACATAATTATTCATCAATTTTATTCCTATCATACAAAGCAGCCTCTGAATTATAATACCAACTTGGCCACTAGCAATGTGATTACTGAAAGCAGCTTATAATTTTTTAAAATGTATCCTATATGTATATATGTACATTGGAGAAGTAAAATCAAATTAATGTATTTTAAACCATTTGAAATAGTTTCTACTGTGTGGTTATGCCAGCCAATGGCTAATCTAACTTTTTTTTTAATTTAACTTGTCAGCTTGGTCGCTCCTGCCTGCAATCCCAGCACTTTAGGAAGCCAAGGCAGGTGGATCACTTGAGGTCAGGAGTTCGAGATCAGCCTGGCCAACATGGTGAAACCCCATCTCTACTAAAAATACAAAAATCTGCCAGGCATGGTGGTGCATGGCTGTAGTCCCAGCTACTAGCGAGGCTGAGGCAGGAGGATCACTTGAACCCAGGAGACAGAGGTTGCAGTGAGCAGAGATCATGCCACTGCATTCCAGCCTGGGTGACAAAGTGAGACTCCACCTCAAAAAACAAAGTTTAAGTTAACTTTTTTTTTTTATTTCCAGAGGTTGTTCGTTTCATTTTTGTCTGAATTATGTAAAACTATTTACATTTCCAGAGTCAACTTTATTTAATAAGATATATTCAAAAAGTCTAATAAAGATGCTTTTTGTAAAACATTAAGCACCTGAATTCCTGAAAATGAAGATGATTTAATGCAGTTACAGCTTTTTATAGTTTTGTCACACAGGTATATCTCTAAGAAATGTGTTAATGTACTGTTTATCAAGTTTTTATACCTTTTCTTGTTTACATATTCATTCATTCATTCTAACAGGAAGCATGAGGTTTCTGGATCAGATGTAGACTTTTAATGACTCACAGAGTATCTTGCATTGGTTCCTAACACCTCAGACACCCATGGACTGAAGCAATGAGAGCCAGATAGACACTGTACCTACAATTGTGGGTTGTACACCACAGGAGAGGAACCCCAGAATTATGAGTCTCAGAGCTTATATAGGATGATTGGCAAAAGTGCTCCTCCTCCTCTCTAGAGACAGAGGGAAAGAGGCCTTTGTTCTCTATCACGATGTCAAATTCTCTCTTGGGAAAGAAAGGTAATAATATCAGGCTTTTATGGCCCTTTGAAATGTAAACAAATGCCTCAAGGGAGAGGCAAGATTTTCTATCTTTCTGGAGTGATCATCCCTTAACCCACGTGCCAACAATCTTTACTCAGAAAGCCCTGACCACGCAGAAACATGAAAACAGTCGTGTAGCACTGTTTCCCAAAATTATTTAATTTGTCTTGGTTTTGAACTTTATAAAAGTGGTAACATACAGCAAATCATTTTTTGTAACTACTTCTTCTGCTCAATGTTATGTTTCTAAAATGGCATAATAGAATTATAAATCCTTTAAAATGTGGATATACTCACTTGTAAAATCATCTCACCTGATATTCTTTTGGGAAATACGTTAAATTATTGACTCAGTGTCTGTAATACCTATAGGATTGTTTTGCCTCTCTTTTCTCTTTTTTTTTTTTTTTTTGAGATATGCTGGAGTGCAGTGGCACAATTATAGCTTACTGCGGCCTCAATCTCCCAGGCTCAAGCAATCCTCCCACCTCAGCCTCCTGAGTGGCAGGGACTACAGGTGCATCACCACATCTGGCTGATTTTTTTTTTATTTTATTTTTAATAGAGACAGGGGTCTTGGTATGTTGCCCAGGCTGGTCTCAAACTCCTGAGCTCAAGCAATCCTAGCCCCCTCAGACTCCCAAAGTGTTGGGACTACAGGCGTGAGCCACCACGCCCAGCCTGCTTTGTCTTTCAGTTGTCTCTTTAGTCATTTTGGATCAGTTATATTTTTCTAAAAATACCTCAATTTTATTGAGGTTTCCAAATGCTTAATATAAAATTGTTTACATAATTTATTATTTATTATATTATTTATTCTGCTCCTTTATTGTATTCTCTGTGCCTATTTCCTCCCTCCCATCCTCTCTCCCCTTCTCACCAGATGTTTTTCTACTTTGTTCATCTTTCAAAGCCAATGTTTGGCTTCGATGATTATTTCTATTGCATCTTAGTTATTTCACTGGTTCTAATCTTATTATTTATTTCATTATATTCTCTTTGGGTTTATGTCATTGTTCTCTGTCTAACTCCTCAGAGATGACTAGTTCTCTAAATGTTAGCCTCTCTTCTTTTATGACATACACATTTAAGACTATAAATATTTCTTAAAATGCTGCTGTTTTATAGCACACCTTAATATGTAGTAGTTCATCATTTGCTTGTAGATATTTAAGAACTTCCACTTTATTTCCTCTTCGATTCATAAATTAGTAGTGTTTCCAAATTTCTAAATGTGGAGCTATCTTCTATCTTTTGTCATTGATGTGAATATAATTGTACACAATCCATTTTTATAAATATTCCAGGTATGCTTTAAGAATGTATAGTCTCTAATATTCAGATGCAAGGTTTTATATATATTGCCATTAAATCAAGCTTGTTGATTATGTTGCTTAAATCTTCTCTAATTTCACTAATTTCAGTCTGCACACAGCAATAATTGAGAGAGATGTACCGCATGTTCACACAGTGATGGTAATTTTGTCAACTGCTTTTTGTAGATTTGTCATATGTGGCTTGTATATGTTTATGTTTGTTTTATTAAAACTATGCAAGTTTAAAATTGTTTGATCTTCTTGCTAAATTAGAAATTTTATCATTATGTAATGATCTTCATTTTTTATTACGTGTTTTTGTCTGATAGCAATGTTATGATGACTTTCTTTAGAATTTGCTTGGAATATCTTTTACAACTTTTATTTCTGTATTTTTTATGTGCTTATATTTTGTAGTGATCTTTCATAAATAATATAGTTAGCAGTTGGAATTTCGCTTTTCTTAATCATATCTACCATATAACTGGTGGGGTTAATCGTCTTAAGTTGTGTTTATTGATAAATCGGAACTGATTTATACCACCTAGTTTCAGGATTTCTATCTGCCTTATATTTTTGTACTTCTTTTTCTCCTTTTTTGCTTTTTATTAATTGAATTTTTAACTATTTTTTGCTGTATTTAAATCTATTTGTTTTTAGTGTTCTATAGCACTGTCTATGTGTTTCTTTTCCTTTATTCTTCTTGGTATACAGTTTGCCACAAATATCTGTGGATTTCTGTCTTTCATCAGTTCTGAGAAATTATCAGTCATTATCCTTTCAATACTGCCCTTCCTCAGTTTCCTCTATTTTCTCCTTCAAACTAATTAGACATTAGCTCTTCAAACTAATTAGAATTAGCTCTTCTCATTCTATTCTCCATGTTTCCTTACCTCTCTTTCAAAATGTTCATATTCTTGATATATAGACTACATCCCAGATTATTTCTTCAGATCTATTTTCTATGTCATGAATCCTTTCATCATCTATGTCTAATCTGCTTAAATTAATTCATTGAGTTTTTTAATTTTAAGTTTTTCCATTCCTAGAATTTCCATATGGTTATTTTGTTTTTTAGATATGCCTGGTCAGTTTTGTAACCTTTTATTTTATTCTCATTTTTATTACATCTTTTTTTTTTTTTTACCTTAAACATTTCATTTGTATCTATTTTATATTCCACCAGCTGGTCATTTTGATATTTTAAAATGAGGTTTTACATACAGTGCTTGTTCTTTTGGCTTATTTTCCTTTATAGTGGCTGATATTTTTCCTTTGAGTAATTTTTTGTGAAATCAGATTTTGTTTACCTTAATCTGTAATGATCCTGGCAACTAAATTTGTAAAGCTCCTGTTTACAGGGGATTGTGTTTGCTTCTCTCAAGAGCCAGTGGCACTATTTATTTGTAATCACTCTAGTCTTTGTTAAGAGAACTGGGTTAATATGGAAGTTTTAAGTTTTATCTCTCCACCTTTTATAGTCTCAAAGCTTCCTGCATAGTGGTACTGACCTAGGCATTTAATTTCAAGACCACTTTCCAAGTGTTTGTCTACTCTTTACTGCTCTATGATCTTAGACCCCTGTTCTTGTTTTTGTTTTTAATCTTTCTTCAGACATTCTCCTTACTTTCTAGTGAGCCCAGGGACGCATTAAAAGTTATTGTTGTTGTTATATATCTGAGACTTTTTTTTTTTAGTCAATGTCCTTTCAGGTTGCTCAGTCTGAGATATTACCAGAAATAAAAGTCCCAATCTACAAAATGAGATTTTTTAACATGAAAATTAAATTATTGGAAAGGCATCAAAAACTCAGATTATCCCACTTTGGTTTATATAAAATTATACAAATAATTGAAGCAATAAATAGATGACATCTTTATAGTTAGTTAAAAAATAAGAATGGCATTTCTTCCATAGTGTATTCTATTTATTTAAATGTTCAGAGCTCATATGGAATAGGAAACACCAAAAAATAGAGCTGTTTCCTACCCAAGAACATGGTGTTATACACCATGGTGCATGAGCAAAAGGCTAGAAATAAATGTTATCCTTATAATACCCTTAAGTTTAGAAACCATTTTAAATAAAAACCTGTATTAATATTCCTGGGATTTAAATGGCTTAATAATAGTTATTGACATTGGGGTTTACAAAGTAATTGACTTTATATCCATTATTTCATTTGATCATCACAACTTTGGAAGGAGTGAGACACAGGTTTTTATTTCTAGCTTATAGTTGGGAAAAATTAAGTGTCAAAGAGATCAAGTGATTCGCTGACTGTTATATAATAAAGAGGTGGGACACAAAGGCAAGAAAACAGACTCCACTTCCTGGGGTCTTTCCACCACATTGCCTTGAAGAAGGTTTAAAAATATTAATTAAATTAACCTAGATAGAAAATATTCTCCTGGATTCTAGAAACTCAAAATAAAAGAAGTGGCAATCCAAAAAAAAATTAAGAAAATGGTAAAGGAAGATGAAACTGTCTAACAACAATAACAAACTGCAAACCAAATTTGACAAGAACAGAATCATAACAAGAGGTTGCTATCACTCTCCATTAAAACTCTAGCTAAAAGCAAAGCTAGGAAATTGGGTGGAATGAGGTTTATTCAAGATTGACATTAAGATATTTGTAAGTCAGCAAAATGGGCACCATCCTTACTTAGCCTTTTTAGCCCACTTAATAGCCTACAGTACTAACTATGACGAGAAGCTAACAGACAACACATCTGTAAGAAGGCTTTCTCAGTCAGTATGACTAAGGTGAGAGGGTCCTCAATCCTGCATTGTATGTCTGTTCCAGAGATTCTATTTGATTCCGTGATATTTGTTTTCCCCTACAATCTCAAATCCTGGAGGAGTCAGAGTCCCCTGCCATAGATGGCAATGGGTTTTTTTCTCCCTGGAAAAATGTTTCTAGTCCCCTTTGAATAAGTAATACCTAGCTGGGTTCAGAGTTGACTCTACCTTCTCAATGTTCTACACATCATCAAGAGCTAGGTAAGATTTCTCAGGGACGCATCCCCTGGTACTATCTGGGACCTTTAAATAACTCTATGGCTCAGTAAACTAATCTATGTCCAAATAAACCAAATGATGGCTATCCAACCAAGTTCTTCATCGACTTTGGCCTGTATACAGCAGACAAGGACTACCATTTTATCATTTTCCAGGGAGAAAAAAAACTAATGGAGGATTAGTTCCACTGGGGGAGACTAGTGTGGCCAGTGTCAAAACACAATACAGTGTAAGTACTCTACTGCTCAGCTTGCCTCTTTAGAGAGAGTCCTACTGGTCCAGGGGAACCAGCATTTATCTTAGTGAAAGCCCCTACCTTACATATTAAGTTCAGAGGTCTCCAGGCCCTAGGAGAACTGTCTAACACTAGCTACCCAACAACTTCCACTTGAAGATTAGCAGCCTCAGGTAGTAGAAAGTAGTAGAAAACAAAGACTTCCCCGAAGCTACAGTGTGAGTCACAGGAAGCACCAGAACAATGTCTGATGCACAGTGGGGCCTATTTCAGAGTAGCTTAGAAGTAAGAAGAGAACATTTATAATCTGTTTGGCCATGGTGTAACCATTCTGAACTATTTTCTTTTTTTTTCCCTTTTTTTTTTTTTTTTTTTTTTTGAGACAGAGTCTCGCTCTGTCACCGAGGCTGGAGTGCTATGGTGCAATCTCGGCTCAATGCAACCACTGCCTCCTGGGTTCAAACGATTCTCCTGCCTCAACCTCCCAAGTAGCTGGGACTACAGGCATGCGTCGCCATGCCCGGCTAATTTTTGTATTTTTAGTAGAGATGATGTTTTGTTGTGTTGGCTAGGCTGGTCTTGAACTCCTGACCTCAGGTGATCTGCCCACCTCGGCCTCCCAAAGTGCTGGGACTACAAGTGCAAGCCACCATACCAGGCCTCATTCTGAGCTATTTTCTAAACAATTTTTTAGATCCCTGGGTCTCATGGATGTTAAAGACATTCTCACTATAAACTCAGGCAAACCCATTGCCAGACATTACTGCACAGCAATAGGTACACCACATTAAAGCCATACTACAAATCTACACCAAAACTTTGAAAAAGTAGAAAAGTACATTTGTATGTGTCTATGATCCACTTTGTGTTTGGAAATTTACTATTGAAAGAGAAAGGTTCAAAGCTGAAACATTAGCTGCCCAAGGACTCATGCATGGCTAGGAATTGCATCTGTCCAGTGAGCTTCAGCTTGGGTGCATTTGTGCAAAGGCAGAACTGCAGTGATGCAAACACTCCCAACCACACACATGTAAAATCTGTGTTTGTTCCAATAATCATCCTCAAGGTCACATATTTTTCATGTGTAAATTAGGAACTCAATTTTGAAAATTTGGCCCAGCGTCTCTGCAAATTGTTCCTTCTTTGTCATTGAGAATGTCACAGCTGTTCTTGTCAGAAAGAAGACAAAGAACAGAAAGACAGTCTATTTAATCTTCATTCACTGACCTTCCATGTAAAAAGGAAAGAAACATAGAAAGGAAAGAGGAAAAAGAGAACTGTTTTTCCTTGCAGGTTTATTCCTGTACTCTCATCCATGATATGATATGCTCTCATATCAGCCCAGTTCTTGACAGCCACAAAGCCCTACTTAATGATCTAAACCAAGGGTCTGCCCCACCTGAGAAAAAGGCTTGGCCATTTTCTCTTGAAGTGATACCACCTACGGAAGTCTGGCAAAGTGACTTTTAACAATTTTGCTAGACTGAGCTAAACACAGAAACGTGGATAACAGGCTGTTTTGAGCACGCTTGTGCTACTAATTTTAATGGCTGTACAAGAACAAACCTGTTAGAAAAGAAACACAACGGCTTTTGCTAAACCTTTCCAGATCTACCCTTTGCTCCTATCTTCTTTCATCTTTGCTTCTGTCTTCATTCTGCTCCTTGTCTCGTGCCCTCTGGAGTGCCTGTTCTTTCTGGCCCTGGTTCTTTCAGGAGCTGCTGACTGATGAGACTTCTGTACTCCTTGAACAACTAAACAGTTTCATCCCACCCTTCCTGCAGCCAGTGAGGATGTTTGCAAAAACCCAAACAGCCTGGGGAGGTGTCAGGAAGTGAACCGAAGAAGGCATGCTGTTTATAGGCCAGAAACATTGCTGAGATTTTATTCTGGGTTGGTTGTTTGGATTGTAAAGAGAATACAGCCCCTCCCAGGGAAACGCTGACTGTCTACAGGCTATCATTCGGAGAAACCACCTCTGTAATGTCTGGCCACAAGCCTCAGGGGGCCCACGAAAGGAGACGAATGATGAAAGGATAGCAAAAATAATTGCTTACCTAGTATAGGGTAAAAGAGAAACAAGGAAAAATTTAGAACACACTTTACAAACTCTCTTAAATACTGGGACTTGCCAAATGCTTTGCTTACTGAGATATTGGAGACTTACATAGTTTGAAAATGTTGTAGAACTTTCATTGCCTTAAAACTAAAGAAAACAAAGATACGTGCTATAGAAAACCATCCTGGGAGCATTTGGCGGCACATAAGAGATAAAGAAGCCCAAAAAACAGTCAAAGAACACTGATACTACTTTGAGTGATGAGTGGATGGAAGGTTTATATTGCCCTTATGGGATAAAATAGAGAAGCGCCTTATGAAGATGAGAAAACGGATTATAGATATTTTAGAGCTAAATAATGCCTTAGACATCACCTAGATGAACTCTCAGGCTTTCTATATTAATTATATTGGGGAAAGATCATCCAAGATCATCCAGGATAAGCCATCCTTTGCTTCAAGGATTAGGCTGAATGAGACTGAGGAACTGAGAATAAGTCAGGAGAGAGAGGCAGTGTTTCCCATGACAGACAGTAAGTAAAGTCATAAACAGAGGAAGATCCATCATGTATCAGGTGGAGAGAAGGAAGAGCTTGGGGCCAGGTCTAGAGTCATGGAGGATGCCATCCAGGATACGTCATAAAAAAATTCATTCAATTTGAGTATTCTTTTCAGAGTCCTTTACCTTTATTTAAACTATTTATTGTAAAGTCATTACAGAAGACTCAAAATAACTTTAGAACTCTCACAATTGGACTAACCTGGCTATTATTTTTAAAGGAAAAGGCTTCATCCACTAGCACCAAAAATGACTTTTAATACAACTAAATGCCAACAAGAATTTCATCTGGGAGAAATCATCTTCTTAAGTAGCCAAGAGTCCAAACAGTGGGGCCAAGAAGAACCAGAGACAGGTGGTCATCTCTACCTTGGTGTAGGTTGCTGCTTCAGGGAAGAATGGAACTTGCCCCTTAAACTCATGCCTCCTATCCTCAATAGAAGCAGCACTCCTCTAATTCATCTTTGCTCCAACCCACTTTCACCACATGACCGGAGAGTGCTGAACTCCAAGATTAAAGAGCTTCCCATGAAAGTGAGATGATGAGACAAGCAGACACAACTGCATGGCTATCCACACCTTGGTCTTCCTTCTGGTCCAAACCTGCTGACAGAGGAACACAGGAGGCCACGTGCACCCCTGGCCCTCACACTTGGGACTCTCTGCCTTTCAGAACAATTTGAGCTCCGAGGCTTCTAGTTTTTGCTTTCAAAGAGAAAACTAGAAGCAGAAAATATCCAACCTCAAACAGCTTATGTCACTGTGAAATAGTACTCTACGGAAATAAAATAGCTTGAGGACTTTGAAAAAATATCCAAAGGTTCTTACAAAGATGGTGTCAAACAATTCTTGAACATGTTAAGGCCAAAGCACTTGTAAACATTCTGGCCTTAGAATATGCTGTGGATTCAAGATAATTCTGCCTTAAACACTGGGCTACTTCCCTTTCTTTAAATTGGATTCAGAAAATAGCATTTATTCTCTTTTAAACATTGTTGGTTTCCCTCTCAAGTCATGCTTACAAGATTCAAACTCAGAAAAAAATCACCCCAAGTTCAACTTTCTGAGTTGACTTTATGAGCTAGTAATCCATCACCGGTTCATTATTAAATCATAACCAAAATGAACATTAGTGAGTCTCCCTTTCCACAATGCCCTAAGAGGCATACAACAAAGGTGATTGCAATTCTCTGGGATGTGACTTGGGTTCACACTGGTGTTACTGACCTTCCGCAGGGTCTGTTGCATTAAAAACATTGAGCTTCTTTTTTATTTTTTATTTTATTTTATTTTATTTTTGAGATGGAGTCTCACTCTGTTGCCCAGGCTGGAGTGCAGTGGCGCGATCTCGGCTCACTGCAACCTCTGCCTCCGGGGTTCATGCCATTCTCCTGCCTCAGCCTCCCGAGTAGCTGGGACTACAGGCGCCTGCCAACAGCCTGGCTAACTTTTTTGTATTTTTAGTAGAGACGGGGTTTCACCATGTTAGCCAGGATGGTCTCCATCTCCTGACCTTGTGATCGGCCTGCCTTGGTCTCCCAAAGTGTGAGCTTCTTTACATATCAAAAATGTTCACACATTAATAGGCTAACAAAATAGATTTTGGCCCTATAGTTGTTATAGGCTAAGCTATATTTCTCCTTCCCGCAAATTCATATTTTGAGGCCCTAACCCCCAGTACCTCAGAAGGTGAGCGTATTTGGAGACAGGGTATTAAAGAGGTAATTATGTTAAAATGAGGTCCTACGTGAGGTCCCTAGTCCAATCCAACTGGAATCCTTATAGGAAGAGGAGGTTAGGACACAGACAGAGAGACAGCAGATCCTTGTGCACAGAAGGGTGACTGTGTGAAGAGGCAGGAAGAATGCAGTCATTTAAAAACCTAGGAGAGGCCAGGCGTGGTGGTTCACGCCTGTTATCTCAACACTCTGGGAAGCCGAGGTGGGCGAATCACCTGAGATCAGGAGTTCAAGACCAGCATGGCCAACATGATGAAACCCCGTCTCTACAAAAATACAAAAATTAGCCAGGCATGATGGCAGGTGCCTGTAATCCTAGCTATTCGGGAGCCTGAGGCAGGCGAATAGCAAGATTCCAAAAAAAAAAAGACCTAGGAGAGCATCCGCAAAGGAAACCGATTCTTCCAGCATCTTGGTCTTGGGCTGTCTGCATCCAAAACTGAAAAATAAAGTACTGTTGTTTAAGCCACCCAGTTTACAGTATTTAGTCATGGCAGTCCTAGGAAACTAATTCACTTAGTCATCTCCCACATGTAAGAAGGTTTGGGAGATCTCATTCCATCAACCAAATTCCCCAATTCCATTAATCATATTCAATGGTATGGTTGGACCCCATTAATCTATATTCTATTTGCCAGCTTGTTTCATGTTAATCCTTCAGGATCAAGACTCATCTAACTTGGTGCATACTCTGAGCCTGAAAATATAGAAGAGGGTTGTTCATTGGAATTTTCAAGGAAAGTGGAGGCAGAAAGTGAGCTGACCCTCTCAACTCAAAGAAAAAAATGAAATGAGGAAAACTGATCACAGGAGCACTTCATTCCTCTTGTCTCTTTGTCTCTTTTCCTCGTTTTCCTTTCTTCCTCCATGTCTTCAACTGCAAAATGAATATTATAAGCCCTAGTTCAAAGTTGATGGAAGAATGGGTGAACTAATACGCTTGACTGCCTCTGCAATGACAGAGGAGAAGAAAATGCAGTGGGTGAGGGGGTGTAAAAAGGACGAGGGACAGAGGAGACAGACAGCTCACGTTTATGGGCTCTCACTGTGAGTCAAAAACCATCCTAAACACTCTACATGAACCCTCTCACTCAAAGCTCATGATAACTGGGTGGGGTAGAAGCACTGCTCCTTGCATGCATCTTTCTTCCAACCCACTTTCACCACGTGACCAGAGAGTGCTAATTTCCAAGATTAAAGATCTCCCTGGGAAAGTGAGATGATGAGATAAGGAGAAACAGAACTGCATGGCTATCCCTACCTTGGCCTTCATCACTAACTTCATTTCACAAGTGAATCTGCTAACATTTCAAGAGAGGGTAATTTGCTACCTAGTTCACATTGCTAGTAAGCAACAGATCTGAGAGAAAAAACTTCAAAACCCAACTGGTAAACTACGATGGTTGTTTCCAAGTTTGAACTTTCCTATTCTAGCTATAAATTCATGCTAATTCTGCATAGTGGTTTGATGCTGCTGTTCATAGGCAATGGAGACAGGAGTTTTTAATGTACATGAGTACACATCACCTTCTTCTTGATCTATGGAAAAGGCAAAGAATAATTGACGGGAAAAAAGAAAAACAGGACGGCAGAGAGATGGAGACCCATCCCCCTGAGCAAAGTGCTGCACTGCCAAGTACCAGGTGGTGTGCAGTTTTGAGGCACTGGAAAGGAAAAATGCAGAGAGAGTGAGAGTTTCAGGGAGCAGCTGCTCTCCCTGTGGAGGATACCGAGAGGGGCAGAAATGGGGAGAAAGAAGTGTAAAAGATTCCTGCTGTGCATCAAGAATGTACTCCCAACCACCCTCCTGATATTTCCTTGACAGATGAAGTGAAATATTTGAATTGCTTTACATGACTTTTTTATTCTAAGTTGTGTTTATTTGAGCTGATAATGAGAAAATATTGGAGCCATGGTGCCCAGTTATACTTGGGTAACATTTTCTGTGTTGTTTTCCACAGAAATGAAACATGGATATAACCTCAAATATCTAACTTTCTTGCAATTAAAGTATTTTAGTGGATATTTATAGAACACATTGGAAAAGAAGAAAATTTATAGGATAACATCTTTTCAATACATAAAAGGCTAGGAAACCAGTGTGTGGCTCTATATAGGAGGTTGGATTGGAGGGTAATTGACATTTCCTAATCTGCCAAGGTTATGGAAGTACAAGTCTTCAACTTCGGAAAAAAGATGTCTTCTACTTCCAGCTCCTGTTATCAGTGGCCCTATCGCCACCCTCTGTGCCCTTTTCTGTTTATTTGCGGGAGTCACTGAACCTCTAGATTATACTTTTAGAAGTATGCAAAAGTAAAGTAAAGGTTTACCATGGAGGATGGTGGTTTTTTCCTCCAATCAATCATTTAACGAATATTTATTCAGCACCTACCGTGTGCCAGGCACTCTGCTATATCCTTGGGATGCAGTGGTGAGTAAAACAAGTAAGGGCCCTGCATTCCTGTGAGCTGACAGTCAAGGAAGAAGGAAGACAGTGAGCAACCAGAGTGACTGGCTGTGTACTCGTAAGTGCTGGGGAAGAAAACTAGTCAACTATTGGAAACAACCGGCAACCGCAGGGAGAGACTATTAGCTTCAGCAATCAGAGAAGTGTTCCCTAAAGAATCAGCAACTTCACTGACCCAAAGGAAGGATGACCAGGGAGTAAGTAGGTGAAGAAAGGAAAAGAGAGCAATTTGGGAGGGGAAAAAAATCAGAATCAGTCTCAGAATGTTCACATAGAAAGAGCCTGGGGTGGCCAAAGGCCCCTGCACCCCACTCCCCAACTCACTCAGCTTCACTTCCTTGCCTCGCGTTCTCTCCTTAACTCACTCCAAATGTTTTCCACCTCTCACTTTTTGGCCATCTCAGCATCATCTCCAACTTGAAGCACTTCCCACTAGCTTCAGTTTCCTTCTCTTTCTTGATTTTCCTCATATCTTCCTGGAATTGCCTGTTCCTGGGACTTCCCACTCTTCAGACCTTCAATCTTCCACCTGTTAAAAGAAAAATGTCAGCTGAATTAAATTTAAAGGAGTTTAACTGAGCAATGAACAATTTGTGAATGGGCAGCCCCCAGAATCACAGTAGATTTAGAGACTCCAGAGCAGCCACGTGGTCAAAAAAGATTTACAGACAAAAAAAAAAAAAAAAGGAAATGATGTACAGAAATTGGAAGTGAGGTATAAAAACAGCTGGATTGGTTACAGGTTGCCGTTAGCCTTATTTGAACTTGGTTCAAACAGTTGGCTACATTTGGCCAAAACTCAGTAACTGGCACAGGTGTGGGCTATTGTTGGTTTACACCTCCACTTGTTATAGTTCACGATGTACAGAAAAACCTTCAGGCTGAACTTAAATATGTAAGGAGGCAGCTTTAAGATAAACTTGATTAACACACCCCTTCTGCTCTCCCCTTGTTCCCAGCCCCTGGGGCCACATCACTGCTCTTTGAGAACCTAGGGAAGCCCGTACATACACGATTGTAAACAGTGGGTCAAGATAATCCAGAGTATATTTTAAAGAGATTGCTCTATGTGGAGCATAAAAAATAAAAGCACGCATATGGGGAGCGGAGCTAGAAGGCAATAAGATGCACGCGGCAGTAACGAGGATGTGTTACAGGAAAGGGGTCCTGACCAAACCCCAAGAGAGGGCTCTTGGACCCCACGCAAGAAAGAATTCGGGGGCGAGTCCACAGAGTAAAGTGAAAGCAAGTTTATTAAGAAAGTAATGGAGTAAAAGAATGGCTACTCCACAGGTAAAGCAGCCCCAAGGGCTGCTGGATGCCCATTTTTATGGTTATTTCTTGATGATACTCTAAACAACGGGTGGATTATTCATGCCTCCCTTTTTAGACCATATAGGGTAACTTCCTAATGTTGCCATGGCATTTGTAAATGATCATGGCGCTGGTGGGAGTGTAGCAGTGAGGACGACCAGAGGTCACTATCATTGCCATCTTGGTTTTGATGGGATTTGGCCAGCTCATTTACTGCAATCTATTTTATCAGTAAGGTCTCCATGACCTGTATCTTGTGCTGACCCCTTATTTCATCCTATGATTAAGAATGCCTTAACCATCTGGGAATGCAGCCCAGTAGGTCTCAGCCTTATTTTACCCAGCCCCTATTCAAGACGGAGTAGCTCTGGTTCAAACGCCTCTGACAGACGGACAGGAGTTGATAAAAGTGGATGTATGTAAGAGATATTCCATATATTTAAGAGTTGAAATCCTCAGGACATGGAAACGAAAGGAGGAAGAGAAAGAGGTCATAGTCTGAGGGTCCTGGTGACCAGGCAGGTAACAGTGCCTTTTACTGATGTGTGAAATCAAGGAGGAGCAGCTTTCAGAGACAGACCAAAGGTTTAGGTTTGAACATGAAGAGTGTCCTTAAGAAGTGCAAGTGGGAATGTTAATGGGCAATGAGATCATTTGCATCTGGAATTCAGAGAAGCAAGCTGATCTACAAATTTAAAGTTTGGAGTCATTGGAATGCAAATGGCACTTGTAGCTGGCAACAGCCATGAGCAAGGGTGAGATCTCCAGGCAAGAGCAGAGTGTGAAGGAGACCTGAGAGCAAACTGTGAAGGAGAACAGGATGGAGAAGTCTGCTGAAGAGGACAAGCAGGAAGAGCAGCCTGAAAAGAAGGCAGGGCCATGAGGGGAAGTCAGCTGCCATCAATGAAGCCAGTGTGGAGAAGGAAAGGAGAGATCAGCCAGGTCAAATGCTGAGAGTATGAAATGAAGGCTGAAAATGCCCATCACACATGATGATGTGGAGATACCTACTATTTTGTTAATATGATATTAGCAGGATACAAAGTTGAATGCATTGAGGAGTGAAGAGGAAATGAAAAAATTGGGCTAGTTACGCTCAACAAAATAGAACAAAAGACCCTATTAAAAAATGAACAAAGAATAGATATTTCTGCAAAGAAGATATACAAATAGCTAACAAGCACATGAAAAGATGCTCAATACCACTAATCATTAGGGAACTGCAAATCAAAACCACAGTGAGATACCACTTTATCCCATTAGAATGGCCACTACTGGAAAAAGAGAGAAATACAAAATAATAACTGTTAGCAAGGATGTAGAGAAATTAGAATCTTTAAGTGCTGTTTGTGGGAATGTAAAATTGTATAGCTACTATGAAAACAGTACGGAACTTCCTAAAACATTAAAAATAGAATTACCACATAATCCAGTAATCCCACTTCTGGGTGTGTACCCAAATGAATTAAAAGCAGGGCCCTGAAGAGATATGTGTACATCCATGTTCACAGCAGCACTATTTACAATAGCAAAAAGACAGAAGCAACCCAAGTGTCCATCACTGATGAGCGAATGGATACACAAAATGTAGAAATGTAGTGTATATACAGCCGGGCACGGTGGTTCATGCTGTAATCCCAGCACTTTAGGAGGCTGAGGCGGAAGGATCACAAAGTTAGGAGATCAAGACCATCCTGGCTAAGACGGTGAAACCCCATCTCTACTAAAAATACAAAAAATTAGCCGGGCGTGGTGGTGAGCGCCTGTAGTCCCAGCTACTCAGGAGGCTGAGGCAGGAGAATGGTGTGAACCTGGGAGGTGGAGCTTGCAGTGAGCCTTGGCACTTCACTCCAGCCTGGGCGACAGAGTGAGACTCCATCTCAAAAAAAAAGAAAAAAAAAGAAAAGAAAAGAAATATACGTGTGTGTGTGTGTGTGTGTGTGTGTGTGTGTGTGTGTACACTACTATGGAATATTAGCTCCAAAAAAGAAAACTTTGACACATGCCACAACACGGATGAGCCTTGAGGACATTAAGCTAAGTGAAATAAGCCAATCACAAAAAGACAAATACTGTAAGAGTCCATTTACATGAAGTATCCAGAGCAGTCAAATCAGAGAGAGAAAGCAGAATGGTGGCTGCCAGCGGCTGGAGAAATGGGGAAGGGAAACTTGTTGCTTCATGGGTATAGAGTTTCAGTTCTGCAAGATGAAAAGAATTCCGGAGATCAGTTGCACAGTAATGTGAATACACTTAATACGGCTGAACTGTTTACTCAAAAATAGTTATGATGGTAAAATTTTTTGTTATGTGTATTTCACCACAATTTTTTAAAACTCAGCTATGAAAATGTAACCCTTATATGTGGGTAGAATAAATCACATGTTTTAGTAGCTAAAAAGAAATACTCGGCTAATTATTGTATACACTTCTTTCAAGGAATTTGGTGTAGAAGAAAAAAGAGATCAGGTGGTAACTGAAAGACAAATGTGAGATTAAGAGAAATTCATTTCTTCTATAAATACGGTAGAAGCTCAAGCATATAGAAATGATGATAGGAATGAACTGGGAGGGGGGAAATTTAGAGCAGGAAAGAATAATCAATATTGAGACATCTCTCAGAAGTGGGAGGAGATGCAATCCAGAACACAGATAGAAAGATGAGGCTTGGCCAAGAACACAAACACCTCCTCTAAGTGCAAAGAGAGGGAATGAGGCTGGGAGGAAGGAATGAGGTATTCAGTCAGGTATATTGATTTGGGAGCAGAACGTTGAAGGGTTCTAGTCTAAATGCTTTAATTTTCTTAGAAAAGAATCAGGGTTCTCTTCTGAAAAGACAGGTATTGATGAGGCTTTAGAATTTCCAAAATAGTAAAGAAAGTTCAAAATAGTCATTAAGAGCACAGGAGAACATCCTGGCCAGGGAAATACGGTAGGATTGCTCGGCAGGATGGAGCCCCCATTCAAGGCTGGTATCTTATGAGTTTATCAGGATTCTTATCTGCCCTATTGTGTGGTTTTCTCTGACCTCCTGGGATACCTGGGTACAGGTACAGAGAAAATGTATTGTTGAGTTCGTCCAGAGTTGGGGTTTTGACAAATTTGCCGAGGGACGGGGAGATGATTTGGTAAGACCTAATGTTGAGGAACCAAGGAATCTAAGGTACATATGGAGAGAAATAAGGAGAGACCAATGGATGAGGAAAAGGTTAAAGAATGAATGAACAGGGGGTTCCGAGGGCCAGAGATGGTTTTAGTGGAAGTAGCTGATCAGGCAGCTGGAATGGTTAAAAAAAAACGTGTAGCAAGAGAGAGGAACATGCATATTAAGAATCTTGGCAATGACACTGCATCAAGTTGGTGGGGCGGGGTGGGGGACACATGACAAAGTGGGGGAGTGGCCACATGTGGGGCACCAAGAGGACAGGCCATCAAGCGCATGCTGAAGGCACCCAGGAAGACGGCAGAACCAGGGTGGAGAGAAGACAGAAAACCAAGTGACAAAGCCTTCATTTGTTAGGGAAAAAGGAGGGGTGCTTTTTACAGTTTTATTCACAACATTTGCTATTATGGGTTGCATCGTATCCCCCGAAAATTCCTATGTTGAAGTCCTAACCCCCAGCAACTCAGAGTATGTCCTTATATGGAAATACAGTCATTGCAGATACAATTAATTAATTATGATTATTACAATTAATATAGTTAAGGTGAGGTCCTTAAAGTGGACCTTAATCCAATATTACTGGTTTCCCTATAAAAATGGGAACTTTGGGCCAAGTGCGGTGGCTCACGCCTGTAATCCCAGCACTTTGGGAGACCGAGGTGGGCAGATCACGAGGTCAGGAGATCAAGACCATCCTGGCTAATACAGTGAAACCCCGTCTCTACTAAAAATACAAAACAATTAGCCGGGTGTGGTGGCGGGCGCCTGTAGTCCCAGCTACTCTGGAGGCTGAGACAGGAGAATGGTGTGAACCCAAGGCAGGGCTTGTAGTGAGCCAAGATCGTGCCACTGCACTCCAGCCTGGGTGACAGAGCAAGACTCTGTCTCAAAAAGAAAAGGTACTTTGGGCTGGGCGTGGTGGCTCACGCCTGTAATCCCAGCACTTTGGGAGGCGAGTTAGGTGGATCATGAGGTCAGGAGATCAAGACCATCCTGGCGAATATGGTGAAACCCCATTTCTACTAAAAAAAAAAATACAAAAAATTAGCCAGGCGTGGTGGCGGGCACCTGCAGTCCCAGCTACTAGGGAGGCTGAGGCAGAAGAATGGCATGAACCCAGGAGGTGGAGCTTGCAGTGAGCCGAGATCGTGCCACTGCACTCCAGTCTGGGTGACAGAGTGAGACTCCGTCTCAAAGAAAAGGTACTTTGGACACAAGCACTCACAGGGAGAACACCAAGTGAAGATGAAGGCTGAGATGAGGGCAATGGGCACGGGCACACAAGCCAAGGATCACCCAAGGCTACCACCAGAAGCCAGAGGAGAGGCCTGGAACAGATTCCGCCTCACAGCCTTGCAAGGAACCAGCCCTGCTGACACCTTGATCCTGGACTTCAGCCTCCTGAATGGGGACAGTAAACTGCTGTTAATTCAACCACCCAGTCTGTGGTTCTTCATGACAGCTGACCTAGCAGACACATTTGCCTTAATGCATTTCTATCCCACTCTGTAAAGACAAGTTTTTGGAAGTATTCCTTGGGCCTCAATTTCCTGTCTGGTCAGGCATCTTCACTGAATTCAAGGAACAGAAGTTTTCTTGTCTTCTAGGTACTAGAAGGTCTACTGCAGGTCTGCTATGACTCACACCATGGCAGCCATTGTAGGCAACGGCTCCAATCTATTCATTTCTCACCACTGCTGTCAAGGCCTTGTTCGTAGAACTGCTTTCACAAAATTTACACAACCATCATACATGGTTAGTATCATTTTTCTCATTTTGCAAATGAGAATACCAAGGCTCTGAGAAGTTAAGGATTTTTCCCAAGATCAGACAAGTATGACAGCTGCCATTGAAACCCAGGCTGTCTGATTCCAGAGCTGGCATTTCTCCCACTTCCAGTCCTAACTGCAGACTAACTCCACTCAGAGGCAGGTCTCCCCTCAGCCCTCTAGAGGGGCTGCCTGTTCCACCCCTGGATGCTGAAAAGGTGTCTTTCCAGCCTGGTGCCATGGCTCATGCCTGTAATCCCAGCACTTCGGGAGGCCAAGGCAGGGAGATCGCCTGAGGTCAGGAGTTCAAGACTAGCCTGGCCAACATGAAGAAACTCCATCTCTACCAAAAAATACGAAAAAGTTAGCCAGGCATGGTGGTGTGCGCCTGTAGTCCCAGCTACTCGGGAGCCTGAGGTGGGAGAATCGCTTGAACCTGGGAGGTGGAGGTTGCAGTGAGCTGAGATCGCGCCACTGCACTCTAGCCTGGGTGACAGAGTGAGACTCCATCTCAAAAAAAAAAAAAAAAAAAAGAAAGAAAGAAATGAAAAGATGTCTTTCTTCTCTGTTCCGTCCTGGCTCTGGAGGTTATTTCTCTCCTGCTGTGCCTCCTCGGCTTCTCACTGTTACCCGTCACCTTCCCAGGGACCCATTCCAAACCCCCTAAAATAACTGAGGCGTCCTCCACGATCCTGCTCCTGCCTAAGTTTTCGGTCTCTCTCTCTCTTCACTGGCAGCCCCGTTCCTCTACCTCTGATCCCTCCAACCATTCTGCAAACCATGCAATTCCCCGCATAGCCCATGCTCTCCAACCTCTCTGCCCTTGCTCCTGCTGTGCCGGGCCACGCCTTCTCATTCTGACCTCAGCTGGAAAAATTCCTCCCGTCTTCTGATTCTGATTTAGACGTCCACCTGAAGAGAAGAGACCCTTCGTATTCTCTGTTGTATTCTCATTTACTTGACATTTCAGACAAGCGTGGCCCTCTCCGCGCCCAGTCTCTGGTGGTGTGGCAACAGTTGAGACCAAGCCCCTGCCCCACAGAACCAGCATCCTGGTGAGGGAGAGAGAGGCCGGAGCCACACTAGCACCTGCTATGGAATGTTTCTGTTGAATGCTGCTCTTGGTGGGATATTTGACTTTATGAAGGAAACCCAGACTCCCTCCTAAAGCCTGCCTTCTTATATTAGGGGAAGTATGCAAAGGCTACATACGTAACCCAAGCATGCAATGAAATGGGCCTGGATCAAGTAGTCTGAGTGTGCAGGCCTTTCCTCTAGCTTCTGTGCAAAGGGAGCATGCAGGTGGCAGCACGCGGCTTGACTGGCAAAAGTTGAAAAGCTCAGGTCCGCAACAGAGCTAAGGCTGCGAGGAGGGCGGCGCGTTGGGAGTGCAGGCCCAGCAAAGGCCACAAGGAAACGCAGGCCTGAGCTGGCAGATCCGTCTTTACAGAGAAGCTAGAAATCTGAATTTTGTTGCCCAGGCTGGAGTGCAGTGGCACAATCTTGGCTCACTGCAACCTCCGCCTCCCGGGCTCAGACAATTCTAGTGCTTCAGCCTCCCAAGTAGCTGGCATAACAGGCATATGCCACCAGCCTGGCTAATTTTTGTACTTTTAGTAGAGACATGGTTTTGCCATGTTGGCCAGGCTGGTCTCAAAGTCCTGGCCTCCAGTGATCCACCTGCCTCAGCCTCCCAAAGTGCTGGGATTACGAGCGTGAGCCACCACACCCAGCCAACAGTAGTTGTATTTTTAAATATGTCTCCAGACATCACAACCGAATATTACTCTAGCCCTAACTTGGCCCGAGGACAATCAGTCGCCCTTCATTTGGGGATCATCGCCTCCTCCTTTCCTTTGTTCAGTGTTCCATCTGGCCTTTCTCTCCTGCCTTCCAGGGACTGCTCCACCACAGGGATACGTTGTTTAGGTTCATTTTATTGTGAGGCATTTCCGACACCTGGGTCCCGTGGAAACGCCCTGGAGAACAGAGACCAGGGCTGGACATCCCTGGCTGCCACGGTGGGCAGGGCCGCGCAGGCCCGAATTCCTGCCTGGATTAGGGCTGCGGGGAGGGAGGAGGAGGGAGGAGGAGGAGGTGGGAGGAAGAGAGGAGTCTGAAGGGCAGGAAGAAAAGCTGCTGCTGTTTGGGTGTGCCGTTCCCGCGGAGGTGACCGCAGCCGAGTAGCAACATGTTAAATGAGGTTGACAATGTGTGAAGTGGAAAATGTCACCAGCAGAAGAGAGACACCGTGAACTTTAGTTTTGATTTAAATTAATGGGAACTCAAGGAGAGAAAATCCTTCCAGTGTTCCAAGAAAAGCCACAAGGTTACAAGTGTGGGCCCGCCTGAGTAGGCGGCTGCCTGGGTGTGAAAGATTCACCCACACGCACCTCGTGTTTACTTGCCGACGACAGTGAAATATTTAGACACATAAATACTTCAATTATGGGGATGTCATCCGACTACCAAGCTTTGGGTTCCACTGTGACAAACTCGAATCTTTTTTCTCCCTTTCCCTTTTTGCAGCCATGGCCTGGAGGAGCACCGGCTGCTGTGGCACTCACAGCAAGGAAGGCGCAGCCGGGGGAAGCCTGGGGCACCTGGCGCATGCCGCGTTGAGGCTTGTGGTGCGGCGAAAAATCAGCAGAACATTCAGAGGGAGGAAACCCCAGACAGCAATGAGAATGAATTGCTTCCAGAGGAAACTACCCACGGCCTCTTCGCAGCATGTGCTGGGCCAGGCATTTGCGAGTGGGGACTCTGGCCTCTGTGGGATGAAGGGGTGCCAGGCCGTGGGAGGGAGGCTGTGATGATGTCCCAGCTTGCCCACATGCCCTCCTGCCTCACACACGGCGCTGTCAAGCGACCCAACTACAACACAACAAAGCAGGCCTGCTCGGTTCCTTCCCTCATTCATTCTCCAGAGCACCCAGCACGAATGGCTTGGCGCGAAGTCTTGGCAAGCAGTTGAACAGGGGAATCTGGACTCCAGGCAGTTAGCCCACGAGAAGTCCTGGTTGAAGAGAAGCCGAATGGATGGGAGGACAGGGAGGGAGGCAGACTTGAGGGATTGCCGTGGTGCAGGAAAGTCCCCACCGTCACCGTGAGGGGTGGGAGACAGCTGTGGAGCGAGAACTGATTAGCATCGCCTTAAGAATCCAGAGGAGTACAGAGGCAGATGAGGAGTTGCGAGAATTAGCATCCTTAACTAAGAGACATAAGTGTAATGGGAGCCAAGATGGTCCTAAGTGGCTCATCCCAGGCTGCTTTGCAATAACGTGAGTGTTAAATATGCACCAAAAAGGAGGGGGCAGAAAAAGGAAACCTAGAAATAAAGCGAGTGTGGGTATTAGAAATAGACGACGCGTGTGCATTTATATACAGCTAACTCTCAGGTTTGTTTTCAAACAGACGCATGACCATTTTTTAAAAATTGATATGTTAAGCCTCATTGCAATGCATTAGAATTCCAGGGAAACTGCCTTCTGTGCTCAGGGTAATGGCAAACCCATCTCTTCCTCTTATCAGGGGAGGTTTGTGATGGTGGCATCGCCCTTCTCTGATAAGGGTGCTAGGGCTCCATGGAACCATCCATCTCTGAATTTCAAAGCAAATATTAATTGCTTTTTGCCTGTGTAGGGTTTATTTTCCCAACCAGATTGTAAGTCCTTTAAGACAGAGAAGAATCCTGCACCTCCTAACATCCTCCCCGCTCCTAGCTAATGAAACTTCTGAAGCATTTGCTAGTAGACTGCTCTATGGACCAACCGTGGCAATGTGCCCACCCTATGCGCTTTGCAGCCCTGACAGTGAAGAAAAAGCCATTTTGATGTCTGTGAGCTATCAAGAAGGCAGGCACTGTCAATGGGTGACAAGAATGCATACGCACAGCTTTTTGAAAGGGGAAAGTATTTTGAGAACTAGATATTAATAACAAGTAACTCACAATGCATGCTCCCCAAGGCTATTCCAAGCAGATTCTACAAGGAGGGTCACTATTAAGAGAAATGGATGCTGTTTATTTTGTCTTGCCCTAACCCTCCCCTGAACCTGCAGGGCTTCCACCCTCCCCCAAATTCTTTGGTGTCCCAGCGGGGACATATTTATAAAACTGCTCTGCGGGTGCCCACAGGGCCCCTCTGTCTGCCTCCTCTGCCTTCCTGGCCTCCACTGGGGCGATCTGCAGCAGTGACATCCCCCGGCCCCTCACCCCATCTGTTCCCCTCGTACCTGCGAGATCTCTGGTTCTACCTCCTCTGGAGGACACTACTTCTCGATGCTTCCAGAGCAGCCAGTCCCATCCCCCAGTGCGGCCCAGCTCCCACCACGCTTGGTGTGGGAGCCACTTTGGGCACGGGCTGTGCTCCAGGACAGGCTGCCAGCCCTGCTGGAGCCCCCGCCCTCAGCCAGCTGAGAGGAGGCCTCTCTGCCACTTAGCACCGTGGCTGTCGGAGGGGTCCCTGCGAGGCCGCCCAGCCCCCCTGCCCCACCAAGGTCTCAGGAGGCCGTTCTTTGCCTTTGGTTTTGCTGCGGCCTCCCCGGTTTGTGTGCTGAGAGTGAGGAGTGGCTGGGCCACCAGGAGAGACGCTGCAAGCCCACACTCAGAGCCCCTGCCTCCTCTCCTCCACTCGCATGTCCTGATGTTTCTCAAGCTTCCCACCTTTTTACTTTGTTAGGCTTGTTTTCAGGGTGCTCTGCGTGTCCTTAGGCCCAGAGAGCCACAGGGAAGCATGCTCAGGTCCCCCAGGTGGGTCTGAACCTTTCAGTAAACACCACTTGGGTTCAAACATAGACCCACCCATGCTGGCGGCATTCCTAGGACAAGAGCAGCTTGGGACATGCTGCACACCCATGACCTCACTCTGTTCTCACCACCATCCAGGGAAGCCAGCGGTGCTCTTATTCTCCTTTCACAGGTGAGCAAACTGAAAACCAGAGGAGCCCAGAAGCCAGCCCACGGTGGCACAGCTCGAAGAGCAAATGAAGACTTAAGTCCAGACCTCTGCTTACTTAATTTTGTTCTCTAATGGAGAGAGGTGAAAAGGGTGCACGCGTCTCCACAGCCAGGACCAAACAAGCCATGCAGTGTGGTCATCGTGGCTCCTTTCTGCTTGTTGGTGGCAATGGGACCATAATCCTGATTGATGCTCCCCAGACAGAATGGACCCATGAGAACCAGAGGTTTGCAGCCCCCGACCCGCTCCAAGCTAAGGCACAGGAAGAGCATCCCAGTGAACGGTGACCACTTTGAAGAAACCCAGGGGACAAAGCTGAGCAGGAGTTTATGGTCCAGAAAAGTACAGGTTCTGTTCAGGAACATGAAGATTGGACCCCACGTCCCCCGTGTTCCTCCCTGGTTTCCTCTCCCAGGTGAACACACCTAAGGTGGTCAGGGTCACCGAGTCAGACCCGCATGCTGCCAGCCAAGCCTTGGTCTCTGGGAGCAACCCTAAGGCACTCCCTCGTGGACAACATCTCTATCCCTCTGCATTTTAGCTTCAAAGCTCACCACACATACAAATGGGATACATAGCTCTTCAAACCTTTAAAATAATAACCATCACAGAGCAACTTTTCTTCCTTGAACTCTGAATATGAAACCTTCATGCTTTGTTTCTTCAGAGGTATTAAGATGGAGGGATAAGAGCATGCACTGTTTTGTTTTGGCTTTTTTCTACGCTTGCTGGAAAAATCACACAACTTACTTGTTTTACCTAGAAATTTTCTGAGTTTTTAAAGAGAATATTCCCAATTGCAAAACCATCTCTATGAAGACAGCAGTGTTGAGTTTTCCCTCCCATAAGCTGGGGAAGCCCCTCCTGTTCCTGGACCTGATGCCCTCGATCTGGGTGGGGCTCACCTGAGAAAGGGCACAAGTGTCCAGACACCAAGTCCTGAGGCAAAACTGAAGCACAGGACTCGGGGGGTTCCCAGGCAGAACTTTCTAGACTGTTCTTAACACTCCTGGCCAAGATGGATAGCATCTGATTTATTATCCAACAGTAAGTAAATGCTCAGTCATGAGGGAAACAATTTTCAAAATGTAATATGAATACTCTGCAGGGCTCATGTCAACATTTAGAACAGGATGACACCGTAGAGGGGACCTTGTCTGCACCTGATATGGTTTGGCTGTGTCCCCACCCAAATCTCATCTTGAATTGTAGCTTCCATAACTCCCACGTGTCACAGGGGAGAGCCAGTGAGGGCAGACCTTTCCCATGCTGTTCTCGTGATAGTGACTAAGTCTCACGAGATCTGGTGGTTTTATAAAGGGGAGTCCCTACCCAAACTCTCTGGCCTGCTGCCATGTAAGACGTGACTTTGCTGCTCATTTACCTTCCACCATGATTGTGAGGCCTCCCCAGCCATGTGGAACTGTGAGTCAATTAAACCTCTTTCCTTTATAAATTACCCAGTCTTGGGTATGTCTTTAATAGCAGTGTGAGAACAGACTAATACAGCACCCCACTTTCAGGGATTTTCAAATATCCTATCCAGAACTCTGCAGCCAGCACAGGGGCAAGAACGCAGTTCCTAACTCACTCCCAGTGTGGGGGCTTCCAACCCTGTCAGGCAAACTGTCTCTGCAAGGAGGATGACCATCCCTCAGAATACTGGAAAATGGGAAATAGAAAAAGACAAAAAATAGAGATAGATCCAAATTAAACAGACCATGATGATGATAGTTATGTACTGAACACCAACCATGTGTCAGGCACTGGAATAGGGATTTATACACATTAAATAATGGAATCATGCCAGGAGCGGTGGCTCACACCTGTAATCTCAGCACTTTGGGACACTGAGACAGGAGGATCCCCTGAGGCCAGGAGTTCAAAACCAGCCTGAGCAACATAGCAAAACCCCATCTCTACAAGGAAATAAAAACGATCAGCCAGGCATGGTGATGTGTGCCTGTAGTCCCAGCTACTCAGAAGGCTGAGATGAGAGGATCCCTGGAGCCCAGGAGTTCGAGGCTGCAGTGAGCTATGATTGCACCACTGCACTCTAGCCTGGGTGACAGAACAGGACGCTGTCTCAAAAAAAAAAAAAAAAAAACAAGAAAAGAAATCTTCATTCTGACCTTATTAGCTATTTGTTCCATGTTTTATAAATGACAAAACCAAGGTGCAAAGAGGTGAAACCAAATGGCCCAAAGTCATCCGTTTACTGGAGGACAGAGCTAAGGTTCTAGCCCAGGTCTTTCCATTACGTCATTTAGTCTTCTCAGGCCAAAAGCCCTGAGCCCGCCGAGTGACAGCGTTGCTTGTATATAGCTTCTCTCCTATCGTCACCTTCTGGCCCATACACAATTTAATCAGAAAAGACAACATTCCTGCCTGATGAGAGCATACCAGCATGAAAACAAGAGACAGACACGGCAGATCTAGCACATGCCCCTGTGGCTGCTGACAGCTCCTGCATAGCTCTGCACATAGATCACCCACGTAGGTCATCACAAGTCACTCTCAGAGGCTTCTCAAAGCCTGGGTCATGCCCATCACCAAAGCAGTCCTGCACTCCCAGGAGGCCCAGGCTCCCTGCAAGCCTGCTCTATCCAGAAGCCATTTATTTTGCAGCCAACAAAAGGAAACATGCTCCAGAGTTTAAGCTCCAGATCCTAGGGTCCCACTGGAGAAGCCTCACTTTAAAATTAAGTGTAGCTGAAATGCCTGTACAATGTAGCCCATTCAAAAGATCAGTTTTAGCCACACCACTTTTAAATGAATCTTCTTATGTCCAGTGTGGTAGAGGTCAAACACAGCTGACTTAAATACTGCCTGTGGCCAAGATTAGTAAAACCTTATTAACGCATGCTCTATTCATTTGGAAGTTGTTTATGTATGCAGACACATAACCTGGGCAGAACCAGATTGACATCTGCCTTTGAACTATCTTTGAAAAAGGAATTTACTAAGCATGCAGTATAATTAATATTGCACAGAAAATGCCCAATTTAAACGCTCCCATTCAATCACTCTCATTTATTCATTAAATAGTTGCCTAAAGACATCTGTCTCTTACTGTTTTGTTACTCTAGTATCAGAATACTATGCATTCTTTAAAGCAATACAAAATGTAATTCCTTTGTAAAATTTCAACTATGATTTTTCACTGGCTGTTTTTGTTCTCTAAATCTAATAGAGAGTTTCCAGGGGAAGTTCAAACGACGACAAGACAAGGCTCACAGCATAAGGCAGCCAGGAAGGAGGCACAGTGGAGGCCCTGACGCCCTCGGGTCGGGGAAGGTGGAGAGAGGCATCTGAGCTGGGACTCTAACCAGGAGACCCCACCATGAAGCCACAGGGATGGGGCTGAGCTGTTCCTAGCACACGCAAGGATAGAGTCTCTGTTCTAGATGGCTGGGAAATACCCACCGAGCCTCCACCAACTGCTCAGAGCTCCTTTCCAAGCTGCCGGCTGGATGACATTTTGTCCAACTTTCTAACAAACATGGGGGTGGGTACCACAGTTTGCCTGAAAAACTACATTTCACTAAAAAAAAAAAAAAAAAAAAGTGGGGGGAATTATTTTTTGGAGGCTTCAGCAAATGACACTAATCACCACCATCCCAAAGCACAACAAATACAAATTAGAACTGGAAGTTGTAAGTCTGGGGAGACTTGGTGGCTTTGCTGACTGACTCTCTGCCCGCCTGTCATACGCCCCGCTGTGCAGGAGGACGGCTGCTGAGACACATGTCTGCATGCCCGACGTGGCTACTCTCCACACCCATCCCAGCTGCGCCCCTGGCAGAGTGGGGCCATGCAGCTCACCTGGCAGGACCCCTTCAGTGCAAGGAAAGGAGGTCTTCTTGGGTTTCTTCAAGGAAATGGAAACCATCTGGAACCACCCCTGAAAAGTTGGGAGTGTGCCTGCCCGCCCGCCTCCCTGGGGCCCCACACGGTGCAAGCTGCCCCCTCTGCACTCCGCCTGCTGGGCTCCATGTTCCTTCCTTACACACCGGGCATCCTCAGGACCTGCAGCACCCAGGATGGTGCCCTAAGCCGGACCTCCCAAAACCCACGTGCTTAAGTTCCAGCCCAGTAAGGCCCTCAGAATGGGGCTGCATGTGGGGACAGGCAGATTTACTGATGTCACCGAGGGAGGATGAGGCCACTAGGGTGGCGGGCCCTAATCCAACCTCAGTAGTGTCCTTACAAAAGGGGACATGTGGACACAGAGATGGGCACGCACGGAGGGAAAACGATGTGAAGAGATGCAGGGGAGAGGCAAGGAGGGAGGCCTCAGGAGAAACCCACCCTGACAACTCCTTGATCTGGGACTTCCAGCCTCCAGAACTGTGGGAAAATAATTTCCTGTTGTTTAAGGTGCCCAGTCTGTGGTATTTGCTATGGAAGCCCCACGCCGAAGACACCTTCCTTCCAGGATGTTTGCCTCAGAGCCTCAGCAACTGGGTCTCAGTTTCCAGCTTCTTGAAAGAAGTAGCTGATGGCCCCTTACAGAGGTGTCCTGGCCCCACAGAGGAGGATCAGAGCTGGCTGGGCCATGGCTGGCCTGGCTTTGGGTCAGGGGCTCCCCAACCCTCAGTCAGCTCAGGGTCGAGGAGGGCAGGGTCATGATGCCTAGAACCCAGGTGCCCAGGCTCACCTCAGTGCAGGGTTTGGGGACCCAAGTCCCCTGAGGACAGGCAAGACTGAGCAGGCCTGGGACAGACGTCCCTAGGTGGATGCCACTAGCCACTAAACACAACTGCCCGCTTCCTGAGGATGACGTAGCCAGATTCAGATGGGCACACTGCTACTAGGGCCATATTATGTGAGACAGGATTCAACTTCAAGCATTTATACGAACATTGAAGAAAGCACTGCCTGAAAGGAGAAGGGCGGTTAACCTGAGACTGCGGCATTGTGGACACGGAGTCAGTGTTTAATGGGGACAGATGTCAGTTTGGGAAGATGAGTATGTTCTGGAGATGGGGGTAGGGACAATTGCCCAAGGATTTGAATGTACTTAATGCCACCAAACTGTACACCTACAAACAGCCAACATCATTAAGTTTTATGCTATGGATATTTTACCACAATAAAAAATAAAATAAATTTCGAGGGGTATGCAACATGATGAAGACGAAGCTTTCCCCCCAAGTCCTATTTAACTGGTTTTACTGGGGACATCCCCTTCATACTACTCGTCAGAGTCTCTTAAGCTCACAGAGGGCTACTCTTCCAGTCTTAAGTACCATCTGCCGAATGACGAGCTCTGAGCCAATTATGAAAACTCCAGGCAATCAAGAGATACTAGAGACAACATGCCCAAGGGGCTCCTGAGATGAACTAAAGAAAAATCCAACGAGTGGCTGCAAGTGACCCCGCAGTCCAGCCCAACATCTTGTGATCTGAATCCAGCAGGGTTAGTGCCAGGACACAGGTGAAGACAGACCAAATGCCTTCACTCACCCCTTGAGCTCAGGATACCAAGATAATAATTTTCATTTATATGGAGGTTACATATTTCTCAGTGATAGTATCCTCCTAAGCTATTTTTCTGGTTTAGAATCCTAGAAATTTTACCCCCATGGGGCAATTGGAATGGGACGGTTAAAAGAGAAAGGTTGCCAAATGCATAATTCATTTGCAGTCACAAAGATAAAACAGCCTGGTTCTCTCCTCCATCCTCCAACCCCTTAGGAAGCAGAGGTTGGGAAAAGGTGTCAAATGTGTTCTGCGCAGAGATACTCAGAAACAAGAGAGAAAAATCAATACATCTTTCCTCTCACCACCCAATCCCCAGCAATGGAGACAAGAGAAGGGGATGAGAGGAAGGGTGGGATGTGGGTGAATTTGGAGTCTGCGGGGGAGGCAGCACTGGCCCAGATGCATAGAGAAGGAGGACTGCTACAAGGTCAGAACATGGGGAACAGGACCCCTCAGATGGAGTGAGGGGGCGGAGGGCCCACCCCACCCAGTGTGCAGGGTGGTGGGAGGCATGCAGGTCAAGGGGAAACACAGCCGTGCCAGGGGGAGGAGGATGCAGAGCTTTCAAAGGAGGCCTTTGGACACCGGTGGAAGAAGAGGAGAGTTTTCCATCACAGGCTTTGCTGGGTCCCATGGACTGTGTCAGTGTGTGTCACCGTATTCTGCATCATTTTCCACCTAATGTGTAGATGTATATTTGTATTATTCCGTTGAGTTGGTCTGGCTTCCTGAAGTTGGTGCTGCTCTTATTTTGGAAAGAATTTCTCATTTACAATGAAAAAGGAAAAGCTCTCCTCCTAGCAGACCTTCCTGCGGGAGGACGTGCAAAGTGAACGTGAGTGCAGGCCCTGCGGGTCCTCTGCTCCCAGGTGCCATCGCTGCTGGCATGCTGCCAGGACTCGGGCGCGGAGTGGCTGGGCCTCTCCAACTTGCCTATGGCCCTGATTTGCAGGCTAGGGTGAGGGTGCCTCAGAAGGATGCTGACGGGGCATCTGTAGGAGCAGCCACAGCTCAGCCGCACTCTCCTATGCCTCCGAACTCCAATTTGAATAAAGTCTCCCAAACCAGCACGCTCATGCAGAAGGGAAGCCCGGCACTGCAAAGGATCTGATAAGCAAACAAATTCTGAGCTAGGAGTAGGCTCGGCCACTGGAGATGTCCCTGGGGCCTTTCAGCAGGGACTCAGGGGCAGAATGTGTGGTGAGCAGCTGCGGGAAGGCAGGGGTGTGGGCTGGAGCCCACACCATGGCTGAGGGCAGAAAGAGACCTGGTCATGCTCCCAGGAGGGGATGGGCACCTCGAAGGAGTACCCAGAGGAAGAGTGACAAGCTCCAGAGGGAGCTTGGTGGGTACTCGGGCCCCCGCAGCTGGCTGTGTCTTCAGGAGCATCCGTCTGGTCTCACAAACTCAGCATCCTTAACAACAGAATTTAAATTGCATCAAAAGTAAGGGAGAGGACTTAAAAATAATAATACAAGTGGCACACGCCTGTACTCCCAGCTACTTGGGAGCTGATGTGGGAGGATCGCCTGGGCCCAGGAGATAAAGTCCAGCCTGAGCTACACAGTGAGACCCTGTCTCTAAAAATCATCATCATCTACAACAGTGATATACTGTGCTATCAAAGTGCAGAGAAATGGACATTCTCACATAAAATGGTGAAAATATCTCAAGTTTTTTTGATGTAGAATAGCAATATATACTTGGTGGGAAAAAAGCTTAAAAGTGTTCTACCACTTGACCCCGTAATTTCATCTCTAGGAATTTATCCTAAAGAAAAGTCAGAGACTCACAGTCAGCACATACAGGGAGAGTAATTAAGTCATAATTACCATGCTGCAAATTTGGAAACAAGAAAGAAATACTAGCCTGCCATTAAAAAATGGGTCGTTGAGAAATATTTAAAGGCATGGAAAAGGGCTTATGATATAAAAAGTTAACTGCAAAATAGAAAACTGTTTACGCAGTGTGGCCTTAGGTTTATGTAAATGTACACTACTCCTTCTATGATAAAAACACAACTAGAAAACAGACTGGAAGGAAATAAAGAAATTAAATGTTAATGGCATCTCTGGAGAGGTGAATTGCAGACTGATCTTTATTTTTTCCTCTATTTCATGTTTCAGCATTTCCTAAAATTCCCACAGTGTGTTTTGTATCCCTTTAATCATGGAGATAGAATGCTATATTAAAAAAGGGAAAATGAGTCCCATTCCCCTCTGCGTTGAGTTGAAACCTAGGCTGTGGAAAGTGAAGACAGAGAGCTCTCTCCGGCCGCACCTGGGAGCTGCAAATCTCCTGCAACCCTCCTTTTAAACGTGCCAATGCGAGTTTAGCCCAGTACCTGGCGTGGAAGATGCTGAACACAAATGAATTCCTCCTCCTCCCAGCCTCTTCCCTGCCCGCCCTTCCCATCTCTTCCTCAAGCACTCAGATGCAAGTCCCCACCAGCTTCCCCTGAAGTGGATCAGAGGGTAGAGTCTACAGTCATGAACCTTCTGTCTCTGATCCTCACATTCTCCAGCTTGGAAGAGAAGCTCCTCAGTCTGAGCCAGCCCCAAGTGGTGAGATGGGAAGAGTGACCAGCGCAAAGCCAGAAGAGGCAGGCGTGGACTCCAAGGCAGCTGGCAGCACCCACATGGCCTGCCCTAAAGAACCCGGTGGGATGCTGGCACGCACTCCTCTCTCCATGAGAGAGAATGGACTTCTCTTGACTTCCCAGAGGGGAGCAGTACTGAGATCAAACCTTCTGGCTCCTTTCTCCCCTAGAATTCTCTCGTCCCCTCAGGAAGAAGAGAGGAGAGATGATTAACAAAAATGACCAGTTAAAGCCAAAACAGAATGCAGCCTCCTCAGCTGGGCCCACATGAACAGGGTCTGCAGGCCTGGCTGGGCCCGAGCTCTTGCCAGCCCTGCATTTCACAGTGTGCACCAGACAAGCAAGGCTGGCACCCACCCACGGAGAGTCAAGGAGCAGCAAGCTCTCCACAGGCCCCAGGTCTGAGCTGCATTCTCCTACCCACCTTCCTATTAGTAAAGTTTCTAATCTAATCTGTATCTAGTGCATATCTTTTCGTTTAAACCTTGTAAGTCAGAACTACTAAGAGAAAGAAGGATAAGTTGCAGGAATCAATCACAAATATATTTAAAATATTCCTGCTGAATAGCAGGAATGACAGTATGTACAGCATATAAGAAGCATAACAAGAAGTTTAAAAGGATAGGAGTTTGACAAAATGATTCTTAAATACACTCAGATGTCTCTTATGCACCCAGCTAGTAAAGATTCTGAAGAACGGAATCTGGGCAGCGTCTTTGCAGTGGGCCCAGCAGGTTTCCAAAACATCTGATTGCTGCTAACAAATAGCCTTTTAGCAAATTAAGTGTCAGTGAATCAGAAGCTTATGGATCATGTGCTAGCTGAAACAAACAAAGGCTGCAAAATTTATAAGAAAAGGTGCTTGGCAAACTCATTTTAGTTTGTTGAACCCAAGCATTAGAAAAATAGTTCATTACTTTTGCCAACTCAAAACCCTGCCAATTTTCTCATGTCCCTAAGTATTGACTAGCATTTTTCCAAACTGAATTTCCTATCCATATTTCTAAATGTTCTTGGCCATTCTGCTGGTAATTATTTGGAGTGCTTTATATGCACAGCAATAATACTCCTCATTGTTTGAGAATTAATCCAATGTCATACTAACTTTTGCACAGTTTTACAGTTCGCAAAATTCTTTCAAGAATATCACTTCGCTTCAAACTCGTGGCATTACCCTGGGAGACATATATCATCTTCCCTTCCAGGGATAAAGAAACAAAGGCTCAGAGAGGTTAAATGACTTCCTCAAAGCTACATAACCAGAAAAATGCAAGAACACAAATTAAAGTCCAGGTCTCCTAATCCCAAATCTACACCATGGAATCAAGTGTGTGTTGAGTTTAATACTGCTCTCAGCAAGCCCTTCCAAAGAGGTAAATCTGTGAGGCACTTCACTTGCTAGAAGAACAGAAGCAGTCTGAGAAAACAGAACAGACCCCACAGGAGTCAGGATAGAAGACTTGGGTCTCCAAGCAATTGACTTAGCTGACCTCAACTACTGCATGTTACTCTCTGTTCCTGCTTCTGTTTATTCCACCTCATTCTTCCAAAAATATTTTCATTCTACTTGAGTCCTTAATATACAAATAGGATGACTCATCATTCTGAAACTAACTTAAATAGAAAGGCACAAGAGTAAGAATATGCACATAAAGAAACTCAACCAAAATGCCAGCTACACACTGAGCCAATAGTGTTGTCAACAAAGATATGCCCCACTTTTGACCAGTAAATACACCAAATTATACAAGTTCTGCACGCTGAGTAAATGATAAAATGATTAGTCCATCTTTTGCAACACCTCCCAATTTAGTATTCAGCCATTTAATTAATGTTCTGTTTACACCCCATTTCCAGATCATTAATAAAGATGTTTAATAGAGCTGAAGTTAACACTGATCTGTATGCATGACACCCTACTGAGTCCCTTCCCGAGCTGTGGCCCTGCCCCCATCGTCACCACATACCACAAGCACCATGCAAGGATAGAAGATCCTAAGTGTTACCATCTATTTAAAATCCCGAGAATAGCAACCTCACACTAGAACTGTGATGGGCCAGGGACATCTGGGTGCTGGAGAACCTGGCCTGCTGTGAGGAGTTATTTTGCCAGAGGGAGCAAGGAAACCCCTGGAAGGGACCTGGTAGCAGGCCCTTTGATGGAGGGAAGGGGCACTTTGAAGCCTCATCTGGGAGATCTGGACCCCAACAGCAAGAACTCCTGTCCAAGTCTAAGGTCATGAGGAGGGAGCAGCAAAAACAGAAAAACTCTAAAGACGGTAGTGCCCAAGACAGTGTTATTTCTGAGCCTTATTTCTGATATAAATTGCATAAATTTATATTCAAGATATAAACTGAGTAGTGAATTAATGAAGCTCTCACAGATAAAGGCATGTGCCTTGTTTTCATAAGGTTTATTGCTTGCAGCTCACAATTAACTAAATAAATAATTACTGAGCATCAGTTAAGTATTAGATATGAGACTAAGAAATGGGGATCGAAAGGAAGACAATTCTTGCCATCAAAGAGTTTGCTGTGTGGTTGGGGGAAAGAAGTATGTATAAATTGCTGTACCCCAAGATACACAAATAATCCCCCCACCTGCTGCCCACAGTTACCTCCACACCTAGCCTCAAACCAAGAGGAGTCCTCTCGCTGAAAGGTACTCACAGGGTTCTATAACTGATGAGTCCAGATTGCAGAAGATTTTATGATTCCTAGAAGAGGTTTAAACAGAATCCTTCAGAGGTCTGGAAAGCTACAGACTACAAGGAAGCCTTACTGCCCTTGCCTGCTGCCACTGATATTGGACTTACTGACCACACCGATTTGTTTTCAAGGAAAAATGGACAGGGCAATGAGGGAACTGGAGTGCCTAAGGGAGGAAGAGAGACAAGCTCCCTAATTCATGTTTCTGAATCATAGAATACAAATTAAAACTCATGCATGGATGGTAGGTCCCCACTAAGATCACCACTGGTGAACTGCAAGGCTGGTAGGAGCCTCTCCTTCCAAGACAAAGGCCTCGGAGCTCTGGCCGTGCTCCAGAAGGGTCTTCCTGAAAAACAGCAGCAAGAGGGGGTGGGTATCAGCATCCTGAGAACCAGCACAGCCAGCGCCCTGAGATGCACTCTGGGACGTTCTAGACCATTTTCCACTTCTGCCCTTACCTGGTCCACATAAAGCCCCTCCCACTCTTTGTACCAATTCCCAATGAAGCGAGGCTGTTTCTGTTGGCGAGGCCTCATCCCGGTGTGATAGATGCTGGTGTGGAAACCTCACTTTTCTAACCGTTGCCTTCAGCAGGGCTTTCACTCATCCTTATCTCCCTAAAGTAGTCCTTGGGCACTGTCTGGGGGTCTGCCCTTGACCCTTCCCAGCAGACTCTTTTTGCGGAGATGAAGGCACCGCTTTCCAGATACCCTTGACTCTCCCCAGCTCTGGAGCAAACTGCCCTGATTTGTGAGCTCCAAATGCCCTCAAATGTCTTCCCCGAGCCTGGCCCACAGCCCTCTGGGTGTTGTAAATGTCAGCCCCACACCTCCATGCCATCCTTCCAGTCAGTCTTGTCTGACCTTAGCATTTTAAATGTGCATATATTCACGCAGATGAGGCCATCATTCCATCCACTCTTGATGACTTTTGCCATCATTCAGTCAAAAATGATGGAGAGATGGGCAGTGTCTCCCACTGCTCGAGGTCTAAAATGCCAGGTTCCCCAGTCACACATCCACGGCAGACTCACAGGCAGCTCCCAGAGAGAGCATGCCTGAAGAAACTCATTGAAATATGGATTTCAATTGTATAAGAAATTGCTTCTGCGATTCAGCCAGCGAGAGTGCATACAACTGTGTTTTTTAATCAGGGTGTGACAAAATCAGAAAATTCATAGTTTTGCAGCAGCAACATATGAACGCACAAGTTACAAGAAGCCCTGTTTAGAGAATTTGAATGTCTCAATGCAACCTGCATATTTGCAGGGCTCGTCTGAGAATCCGGGATTCTCAGGTCACTGCAAGGTGACTTATTAAATTCCATTAATTTTCCTGCCTAAACGAAGAGACAGCAAGATTCCTCCCTAGACTACACAGCCCCATTTCCCAGGGCTCCCAGGAGAGACCTCTGCTTTGGTTCCATTCTTTCAAAGTTCTGAGGCCCCAAGTCTCTGAGAGGGACCTCCCAGGCCAAAGCCTAGAAGGAAGGATTTCCTCCAATAGCTTTGTAGAAAGCGTGCACAGGCCCTCTCAAAGTCTCTGCCATTCCATTAGGACTCAGTGTCACCCAGGAGCCTAGAGGGAAGGCAGGACCGACTTCTCCAGCTTCTAAGTCATCACACCCCTCCCTGAGTGCTGCCCCCAGAGACTCACGCTTTCAGCCACACGGGCTGAATGTCCGAGGGCATCTTGTGGTTGTAGGGATTTACAGCCAACTTAACAGGTAAAGGGCAAAGCAAAATGATAGGTAACATTTACTGAGCATTTCGCACACATCAGGCACCACTCCATGCTCTTTACCTGTATTAATTCAGGCAACCCTTTGCAATAGGTAATGTTACCACTATTTTACAGGTGTGGAAACTGAGATTGAGGAGGGAGGGGGCTGCTTGCAGTCACGCAGCTGGCCAGAAAAGGAGGCCAGACAGGGAGAGGAGCCCGCTGTCTCCACTTGCATCCCACACCCTGGACAGCTGAAGGCACTGCTCACCCAGGATGCTTAGCTTCCTGCTCTTTCCCTTCGGTTCCTTTCTGTTTCCTGTTTGCTAGTCAGAGACAACTTCTGAGTGATGGATCATCTCCCACCCTTGAGACGCTTCCAGTGGAACACATAAGCCAAGTTATAATTAATCCATGTTGCCAGGGACTTTTGTTCTTCTGACCAAAAAAAAAAAAAAATCTGTAATAGAATCTTGAAGTATTTTACCCATATTTGTCCCCTTTCTCTTCAAAGTAGGCATGGCCATGTGACCTGGTTTGGCCAGTAAAGCATAAGCAAAAGTGACTGTGACCACTGAAGCCAGAGCATGGAACTGTCAACCCCAAGCTCACCAGCAACCTGTTCTTCTGCCACAGAGAACACGAAAGCACACATGGCCCTCACAAGCCTCGCAGCTGGGGACCGAGGGCAGCAACCTCACCCTGGAAAGGTGCGCAACCTCACAAAGAACTGTGCAAGAGAGAGGACTGGACCTCCACTGAGTAGGCACAGGGACCTCGGGGGGGTTCTTATGGCAGCAGGACCTCTCCTGGCCATCTGATAGAGGACCTGTGCTGACAAATACTGCAAAGGGAAAGAGATGTCCAGTGACCCAGCTCAGCAACTGGGTATCTCAGAATTGTGTCCCACTGCCCAGGCTGGACCACACTCCACACAGATACCAAAAGTTTCCAAGTAAAAGTTTACAAATGTTTCCATGTCCCTCCGTCTGAAACTCTGCTCTTGCATTTTCATGCAAATGAGATCTTTCATGTGGTCTTGGAGTTGGTAAGAAATCAAGTAGAAGATTATTTTTTCTTCCATGGTTCAAAGCATGAAAATTAAACAAACTCTGAGCTGATAAACTCAAATAACAAGACGAAAATGTTTAAGGAGGGGAAGTCAGGTTTAAAATGTTAAAGGATGTCACAGTTTCTAGAGTTATAATGTCTTTAAAGTTGGAAGGGATGATAAAAGGTTGTTAATCCAGCTTCTTCATTTGGCAGATCAAGATATCAAGGTTCAATATAGGAAGTGAATCCTCTCTGCTGGAAAGTAGCAAAATCAATCCTTGAACTCAGGTCTTCTGCTTCAAGTCAAAGGTTATTTCTCCTCTACCACAGGCCTCTCAAAAGAAATGTAACTTTCGAGGTTGGGGCTCATGTTTTATGAGTCATTGTTGTTTTCTCCAAGGAATAACATTTATTGTCATGTGTTTTATGGAATATTTACTAAGGAATTACAATGTACCAGCACCCCTAGACATCAGGAGGAGGACATAATATGAAAAGTGTAAAAATATTACATTTATTTTTATCATATATGTAGGTAGATTTCCGTGATCACTACCATAGTCAAGACACAGAAGAGTTCATACAAGAATCCCTCATGCTTCCTGAAATGGTTAGGCTCTGTATCCCAACCCAAATCTTATCTTGAATTGTAATCTCAATAATCCCATAATCCAACTGAGGGAACAGTTTCCCCCATGCTGTTCTCCTGATAGTGAGTGAGTTTTCACGAGATCTGATGGTTTTATAAGGGGCTCTTCCCTCTTCGCTCGACAATTCTCCTTTCTGCCGCCTTGTGAGGAAAGTGCCTTGCTTCTGCTTCACCTTCTGCCATGACTGTAAGTTTCCTGAGGCCTCCCCAGCCATGCTGAACTGTGAGTTCATTAAACCTTTCCTTTATAAAGTACCCAGTCTCAGGCAGTTCTTTATAGCACTATGAAAATGGACTAATACACTACCTTTTTATGGAATATATACACACACACACACACGTGCGTGCGCTCGCAGCCACATCCCCGTGTACATGTAAAACTGGTGAAATCTGAATATGGTGGATGCACTGTATCAATATCAATTTCTTGATTGGAATATGGTTTTGTAAGATTATATAACTATAGAATATTGAGGGAAACTGTGTTATTTCCTACACGTGCATGACAAACCACAGTATCCCAAAATAAAAAGTTGTTTAAAACACATTATGTAAGCATCGGGATTATAATTTTCTGAAGTAACTGCATGTCAACCATCTCAACTGATAAGAAGAGCTTCTGCAGGGCTTGAGGGACGGGAAATGCTGGATTCTGAGGAAAGGAGTTCAGTAAGTGGCTGACAAGTGGGAGGCTACTCCAGAAGCAGAGGGGCTGTGCTGAGCAACAGCCAGGTAAGTGGCGGGGAGAAAAGAGGTGAATGAGGGAATGAACAGGAGTTGGGGATTCTACCTCAATTCCAGCAGAAACGGACAAGAGGAACCACCAACGTGTGGTGCGATTGGCTTCACACTGTTAAAAGCAAAACTCTCTTTTCACAGGAGATCTTCCAAGGCACCCCATATATAAAGCAGGTCATGCTGAGGTGGTCCAGAGGCACCCCCTGCATAACCTGGGCCTGCTTAGAGTCTTGCAAAGTACCAAAGGCAAGAAAGAACCAAGGTCTGCATCAGGCTCAAGGGCTCCTTTCTTTAGTTCCTAAGTTAGTGGCTTGGAAAGTTATTTAAACCTCAGCTTCCTCATGTCTAAAATGAGGAATAGTCATATTCCTCTTAGAGCACAGCCAGTGCAGACCTTCAGAGCATGGAGGTACATAGGGGTCCTGAACGGTGCCGGCAGAATTCCACTGATCAAACTGGGGGAAGGAATTACAGGAAGAATGAATGTAACCTGCAGCTTATGGAAATAAATCACCCAACTATAAAAAGAACTCAAAATCTTGGTCTGTAGATTTTAAACTGAAGAGAACTTAGGAATTGTTCAGTTCCATTCTTCCATTTTACAGAAGGGAGAACCAACATCAAAATGAGGTCAATAGTAGTTGACAGAAAGAGATAAATTAATTGAAAAGAATCTGGACAGTTCCAATCCACTCAATAAACTAAAAGCTCGGGTCACTGTCCTCATTGATTTAATCTCTTCTTGCTTAAAATTAAACATGTGCCAGATAAAAGTTTTTCACTGGGATCAAAACAAGAGAACAAAAATCAGCAAATATTTCCACTGTTTTCTTCGTCCTGACATTATATCTGTCTCAACGATGAGACAGAAAACTGATCTGTTAAATCTATATTTAGCTTTATTATATTTATCTTCTTCCTACTTCTAAAAATGGATTTGAGACAGCAGTACAAACTCAGATGCTTACATTGAAGTAACTAGGGCAAGGCAAAACGAGAAACAAAGAAAAAAGTGTAGGAAACAATAGCATACAAGAACTGTGGTGACATACAAGAATTGTGGTGAAGACAACTTCAGCTTCTGATTGCAGATTTTAATGCTGAGCATCCTACCAGCCTAGGCAAACAGGGAAACACAGCATAAATATCATCTAGCTCTGGTAGTGGGAAGAGACTTCTTTTTTTGTTGTTTGTTTGTTTTTTGTTTGTTTTTGTGACAGAGTCTCACTCTGTCACCCAGACTGGAGTGCAGTGGCGTGATCTTGGCTCACTGCTACCTCCAACTCCCGGATTCAAGCGACTATCCTGCCTCAGCGACTCTCCTGCCTCAGCCTCCCAAGTAGCTCGGAATACAGGCACCCACCACCATGCCCAGCTAATTTTTGTATTTTCAGTAGAGATAGGGTTTGACCATGTTGGTCAGGCTGGTCTCGAACTCCTGACTTCAGGTGATCTGCCCACCTCGGCCTCCCAAAGTGCTGGGCTGACAGGCATGAGCCACCGCACCCGGCTAAGACTTGTTTTTATACTAACATAAAAGAGGCTTCTCAAATTAACTCAGCAACTGTTTAGAGGCAAAGAAAGAGAAGGCAACTAGCAAACTGAGCACTTACAGTGTGCCAGGCCTTGTGCTGATAACATGATTATCACATGAATATTTAATTTAATCCTGACAATAACATTATGCAATCACAATGTGAGGGCCCACGGCCAGTGGTGGACACAGCCTGAAGACTGGGTTGTCTGAGAGAGGCTTGACAGACACTCCACTGTCTACTTTATGGGGTAGGAAGGAAATTAATTTGTTTATGTATCCTCATGTATCAATAAATAAATTCATAAATAAAGAATATGAAAGAAAGCCCTTGCTCTGGAGCGCATGCCATTTGGTTATACTTAGAAACTGATATACATCCTGGCTCAGGGCCAGGAGCTGAGGCCTAGTGTCAGGGGTCTCCCATGCCCTCATCTCATTGATAAGCGGATCCCGCCAGTGCCTTGGTTAATGACTCACCCCCTATCTGCTGCGACTGCCTGAACTCAGGCCTTCACTGTCCTGCAGCATCCTTCAGGAGGGGGCCTGGCTGGTGGATGGCAGCTGACCTCTGGGGTCGCACTGTCTGGGCCCAACCCTTGACCTGTAAGTTACTGGTGAGTGACCCTGTACAGAGGCCTGAATTCTCTGTGCCTCAATTTCCTTGTCTGTTAGATGAGGATGACGATAATGGTGTTTATTTATCTCACAGGACAGCTGCAGCCTCTTAGATGCCTGCACCTAACACGTGCTCCATGCATTTCTGCGGTGGCCGTGCCTGAGGCCTGCAGCCATGTGTCCTTTTGAGTTCATATACCAGATGCTTCCAGGGTAAATGAGGAAAGTGCAAATACAAGCAGTGCCTTCCCCTGCCAGATGACCTGTAAGAGGTCTCCATGGCCTACCAAACAGAGCCCAAACCTTAGAGGGCTTCTGGGCCTCACGAAATGGCCTCCCTCAGACCCTCCATCCTGGCCCTCACCATCCCCTCCAGCCCAGGGCAGCCCTCGCCCTTCCCCAGCAGCCGGCTCTGTCAGGGTCCTCAGCCTCCCTCCTGCTTCCTGCTGTGCCTGGGATGTTTCCACTCCAGGGACTCCAAGGTCACCTACAGGACTCGGCCAAGTCTCTGCCTACTCTATGGAGACGTCCCCATGCCCAGAACCCAGCCACATGAGCATCTGTCCCTTCGTGGCCCAGGAAGTGGCTGCTCCCTGCACAGCACCCAGGAGCAACTCACAGCTCAAGCCTATCCATGCATCTCTCTCCCCGTCAGAGCACAAGCCCCTTGTTGCCGGGTCAGTGACACGAGCACCTCTGACCCCCCAATGCCGAGCACAAGCCCCAGCCGGCAGTCTGCTCAGCAGGTGACAGAGGAATGTGACAGGGAAAAACAGCCGCAGCAGGAATCCCTTCCACTCCAGGCACCACCGTGGACCAGGCACTGCGTTAGAAGATTCCACAACACAGACAGGACAGAGATCCCAGGGGGCTTGGCTCTGGTGGAGGACGCAGAGTCACAAGAGCTTCAGAAACACCCCCAGGCTATCTGGGGGGGAGTGGTAAGGGGTGGTAAGGGGCAAAGCCATGTTGGGTTCGTGGCTGCTGTGGCTAGGCTCAGGGCTTCCGAGGCCTCGAGCTCTTGATCTGGTGATTCTGGGGTCAGAGCCCACCAGGCTCCCACAGGGCTGAAGCCACGGTAAGCAAGGCTGGTCCTTCCGCGGCTCTAAGAGAAGCCCCTTCCTCACCTCACCCTGCAGCAGACAAGACAAGACCCCAGAGCAGAATGAACACATTTGCCTTCTTCAACTTACTTCCAGCAGGCGCAGGCCCTGCCTCCCTGCAACAGGGAGGGCCAGCTGCTCGCCGGGGACCATTCTGAATGGGGATGCTGCATCCCACAGTTCCGACTGTACAGGTAATAAACTCCAGAAATACCTGTTTCCTCTTCTTTCCAGTTCTGTTTGGTTCTTCCCACCAAAAGCCTAGGTCCAGTCTGGCATGTTTTCAAATTAACGCCAATTATGCAAAAGAGTAGCTTATTCCATAGAATTATAAACAAAGCAAGACAGGCACCAAAGAATTTGATGTGGCTTTTAGTAATGGGTGGAGGAGACTCAACCACTTTAGGTAGGTTACAGTCTGCCCCGGGTTCTCCCAAGACCTCATAAGAAAATCACCTCTGATAAGAAAAATAAAAGGGGAAGGAAGAGCGGGAGTTGGAGAATAGAAGAATCATTTTTCTTTTTGCTTCGGGAGCTGAAAGGGCCCAAATTGTCGCATCCGACCTGCAACCGCAGGCCTTCCACACCCGGGGAGCCACTGGAAGGGAGGGGCCCTTTGGGACTGCTCCTAATGCCTTATCTTCAGTTCTGCCACCTGGGCCTTAAACTCTCCACTCAGACTCCTCACACTCTGTCAAAACAGTAACTGGAAGATTAGATCTCCCTTCTCTGGGAATTAAAGTGCTTCGAGAAAGGGGATGAACACAGCCTTGCCTGTCTCTGACCACAGCCCCCTCCCCACCTACTCTCACCTTCCTCTGCCACTTAAGTACCCCAGGTTGTTCCTGGCTGGATTCTAGCAATCCTAACTAGAATCACAGGACCTGAGAGCCACTATTCTTTATGTCCATCCAATTCTTGGGAAGAGAGCTGGCAGCCTGTGAAAGTTCCACCTAAAATGATTGGTGTTCTTCATTCCGAAACTCCATCAGTACTGGACACGTGCTATCCAGGGCTCCACTCACATTACAAGCGTGCAGGTGCTGTCCCTGAGAGCTGGTGTTGGCCCTAGTGGTGACCAGCTACTCGTGCAGTGACGGGCTCTTTCACCTCCTACTCATGGAAGTCAGTCCAGCTTCTCCCGTGCCCTGCACACGCCGTGCCGCCAGGTCTCATTTCTGTCTGGTCAAACCTGATCTCAATACAAACCCTGGGTGCATCGGGGACTTTTCTGAGTCCAAGGAATTCTTTAACCCACAAACAGATCTTTTCCTGCCTCTTGTAAAGAAAAGTCTAGAGCGGGGTTTCTCAGCAGCAGCGCTACTGCCGCTTGGGGCTGGAATCTGTGGTAGGGGCCGTGCTGTGCATTGCACGATGTTAGCGGCTTCCCTGGCTTCTACACACGAGATGCCAGTGGGAGGTACTCCCTCTCCCAGTGTGGCAACAATCAAAACTATCTCGACAGGGCCACATATCCCAAGGGAAAAACTGCCCCAGTTGAGAACCACTGGGCTAGGGAAAAGACAATGGGAAGTGGTGCCTGTGTGACTGTAAATCCAGACAGTGGTGTCTAGAGCTTAAGGATGTCGGATCTGGGCTCTTCTTGGCTGTCAGTCCTGATTCTGGCACCTCTGCAGACCACTGTGAGAGGTGAGAGGGTGAGGGGGCTGCCTGTGTAGAGGGACCAACGTGGAGCCGGGGAGTCCCAGAAAGGCAGCACCCAGTGCCGACAACCACAACAAATCCACCTCCTGATGTCACACCTGATTAAAAGTCCTCTCCAACCAAGGCCACCACACTGAAGAAAGAAAAAGAGGCCCTATCAGGACAGGAATGTGCTTTAAAATACACACTGGGCAAAGATATATGCTTATTGCAGCCTTAGGTGTAGTAGCACTCTGAAAACCACCTGCCTATAAAAAAGCACTGGTTCAAATAAATCACACACATGCAGCCACGTCCTACTGCCATTTTAAAATACAGCAGACCCGTTTATGCTGATATGAAACGGGCCCCAAGACCTACTTATTCAGAGAAGAGCAAGACACTGTAGTGTTTATGGTATGCCTGTTTCTATGAAATTAAAATGTGGATTAAAGTGCATGAATGTACAGAGAGTTTTTCTGATTTTTAGTCGTTATACTAATTTGAATCCTTCTGCACAAAGAAGTGTGCCTACAAAACAGGAAACCAACACAGACCTTCTTTAAAAAGAAAATGCTGCAAGGTGACCTAAGAAAAGGCAATTTTGCTAAAAGTAGTTGGCAACCAAGCTCAGTTGGCACAGCCCTGAGGTCTCAAGCCTTTAAATTTAATGCACTCTTTAAGTCCTTGGTGCATGCTAATTCTCGATAAACAAAGTTGAAACAGTTGGTAGGTTTTTATGTGACTATTATATTATCATGAATGCTTATTGAGGATTAATCCACAATGACACAATAAACCAGGAAATACCCTCAGACTGAAGGAGTGATTTCTACCAACATCACCCACACCATGAACTTGGTCTTTGCTGGAAGTGGGTCTAACAGACACAGGCAGGATGAGATGAGCAGACCACACAATCAATACACCAAAAGTTACAACTGTCAAGTATTTATTTGTTTTTAGTTCAGGGAGTAACATAATTTCATAACTAGCAGCAATGTTGTCTGATTCGATCTCAATTTCTTCCAAAGTATTGAAATGGAAATCTCTTTGTATATCAACAAAGTCCTAACTACTACCTAAACACTACCCCTCAAGCTGGTGGGACAGTGACAGATCAGGAGCCAGGAAGATACAAATGAATTAACAATGAATGAAATGAAAGGAAGGGCCGGGCGCAATGGCTCACACTTTGGGAGGCTGGGGTGGGCGGATCACTTGAGGTCAGGAGTTCGAGACCCACCTGGCCAACATGGCAAAACCCCATCTCTACTAAAAATTAGCCAAGCATGTTGGCATGCACCTGTAATCCCAGCTACTCGAGAGGCTGAGGCAGGAGAATCGCTTGAACCTGGGGGGCAGAGGTTGCAGGCAGCTGAAATCATGCTACTGCACTCCAGCCTGGGTAACAGAGCAAGACTCTCAAAAAAAAAAAAGAAAAGAAAAAAGAAAGGAAGAACATGTAAGTATACATCTAAAGTGATAAAACAATAGGATTTCTCACATTCTTGGGTAAGTTTTCAAATGTAGTTAAAATTAGAAAAAGTCACCAATTTTGTCAAAAGGATCAACTTTTTCAACATAAAGTGTGCTTAAAAGTTTTCATAACAGAAAATTATTTATTTTGAAAAAGAGGAGGATCCTGCTTTGGAGTTTCATGTTAATTTTGGTCTGTGTTCTTCAACCACTGAATCATATGCGACTCCGTTGTCTGCCTTTGATGCTATCTTCTTCAAGGAAGGCCAGGCTCTTCGCAGTGAAACAGATTGGCCGATTAGCAGAAAACGTGCCAGTAAAACTCCTGTGCGTGGTCACTTAATGTCATGACCTTTTTGCCACCACACAGTTTTAAAAGAGCTATCCTATGCACGCCTATAAGCTCAGAAATACCAGAAAGCAAGAATGTAATTGATCAAGCACCTGCTATAGGCTGGGCATATCAACAATTCTTTCGCCAATCTTTCAAATAGGGCACCATTATCATTGTTTTTCAGATGAGGAAACTGAAGCTCCAATGGTGTGCCCAGATCACACAAGGTGGTGAGGCAGGGTCTCCACAGGGACCCTGGAGGTGCAAATGCACTCTCCTAACCACATCCCACGAGAGCCACACCAAGTCTGGGCATCAGCGCTGCCACTGAGCATGACATGCTCCCACTGGAGAGACAGCTGGGGTGTCCCCTCTTGCTCCCTCCTGGCAGCTCTGGGGCTAAGGAACCCGGAGACCGCTTTCCTCCCAGAGCCCCATGTTCACCAACTTGCCAGTGAGTCTTACTCCTTCCTTGCTTGCCTTTCCTGGCAGTATTTGTTTTGCCAAGAACAGAAGAAAGCCAAGGCAGGTAGGAAAATCAAGCTTCGGATGTCCTTGGCCTGGCCTTCTGCCTTTCAGCAATGCCCGTGGCATAGGCAGGGTGGGCTGGCCTGGCCTGAGGCCTAGGGTGAGAAGACGCTCATCCTGACCGACTGCCCGTGGGCTGCCAGAGGACCCCACATTTTCTACCAACAGTTCAGCTTGCAGCATAAGCAGGGGTGGTCCTGACTGTCCCCTAGGCACTGCCACCACGGGGAGAACTGGACTCCAAATGCCGTGCAGAAGGGCCGCCAGTCATTTTCCTCCGGTTACACTGTGGCCTCTTTCCCCACGTCAGGAAAAATGAGGCCATTTTAAAAGCCAGTTGAATAAACTGATGAGCCCATTGGGCTGGAACCACAAAACAGATCGCAAGTTGCTGTAAGACAGCCCCAGAGGAAAAAGGAGGAGGAAGTATGTTGGGCAGGTACTATCTTGGTTTGGTCTGGGAAGAAAACTCTCCTACGAAAAGAGAACAAGGAACCTAGCTCAGGCCTCATTCTTTACATTTCCTGCTAGCTAGCACCCATCATGGCAGGCCCCATCAATTCAATTCTGGGATGTCTGGAACCCAGCCAAGAGCCGCTGGGCCTCCACACACTCAGCAGAGCACAAAGCAGTGACTGCAGCGCCTGGCAGGCACGGCGGGTAAATCATGGCCGCTCTCTCTGCAGCCCAATTTCTCCAGTTTATTACTTGATTTTGAAACATCTCCTCCCTGCAAGTGCTTCCCGATCTTGGTCTTCCAGGAGTCTCTGGGTCCCACTGCCCACCCTGAAGACCTGTTTTCCTTGGTTTGCTGTGCTCTCACCTGGCCAGAGTTGCAATTATCATATCTATCACCCTCAGGCTGTCAGAACAAGAAGTCAAACATGTTAGTCACCCTCCTTCCTGGGCCCGTGTTTCTCTCGACCCTCTCGGCCTCTCAGCCTCTCCTTCGCCCACAGTGGAGGAGACGCAGTGGCAGAGAGAAAGCAGTCGATTCTCCCAGGGCCATCACCCCTGGGTGGACATGATGTGGCCTGAAGTCCCCCCAACCCCTGCCATTCTGAGTCTTCCTCTCTCTTCACATGCACACATTCAAAAGTGTAAGCACACACATGCACACACACATGCATACACACGTGTACACACATGCAAGCACACACATGCATACACACGTGTACACACATGTCCACGCACACATTTTTTGGCTCCCTATTCTGAATCAGGCCTGGTAAGTGTGCACTCTGTGTGCAACCTGAAATTGATGCCCCTGGCTGGCGACCTTGTCCAGATGGACCCTGCAGAAGGGTCCCTCGGTTGTGAAAAGTCCAGTTTTTACGGCCCAGTGAACATCAAGCATGAATGGGCCTTTCTCCACTCCTTGAATTTTTTTCCCATGAAGTTTAAAACGTGTTGAATAAATGAATTGAACTAGTTACACACACTTTGACAAGTCAGTGAACCTCTCTGTACTTCATTTCTCCATCTGTAAATGAGCAGAGATACATCCAACTCATGGGGCTGTTGTGTGGCTCAGGGGACGGGGTTGGCAGGCACTCACACATACTTGTAGCTGCAGCTGAACTCGTGGGTATCCACTGAGGTCTCACTATTGATAAGATCTTTATTTACAAATGCTATGGGATACAAAAGAAACTAAGGCCCGGGGTCCAGGCACTGTCACCTAAGAAGTGAAATGTATGTCACCATGTGCAGCAAGCAGACATTTCCTCAGGAGCACAGAGACCTGCCTTCCTGCCATCCTCACTCTCCATTTGGAGGCTTTATGTGTGATTTTGATTTTGATTTTTTAGGGATGCTGACAAGCAGCAGAAAGAATCCGTGTAGCAGGTGGGGAGAAATAAGGGACAGAGGGTGGGCAGCTCCGACTGCGCCCATAAACTCTGGAAGAAGACCCCATCCCCTCCAGGCAGGGGCACTCTCAGCATGTGCACTCCCTTTCCAGGCCCCGGGGGGCGGTGCCACTCCTCTTCCTATGCGTGCTGCCCACACCCACGCTGGGGTGACTCCGTCTCTCCTTCAAGGCTGCAAGCCTAAGAGGATATGGAATTGAGAAAGCAAGAAAACACAGATCTAACACTAGAGATGCCACCTGGCCCAACCCCCAAAGACATTCTAAGCTGGGACACTTCCAAATTTGGTGGGGTTTCAATCTCACATACTTGCACAACCCTCTTTTAGAAAAAGGCCACAAAATAAATGCAAAATTCAGCACGGATATGAACAGTTATTTGGAAGAGGCTTTGGACTTCATGTTCCTTTCCTCTGAGACATCTTTAGCCGACTGGCCACTCAGGTTCACGCAGACACTGTGATTGTGAACTGGCTTTCCTCCTCACCTAGATCCCCCTACAGACACCAGCACCAGCCACGCGTGCAGGGGCACACACAGGTGCCTCTTCAGTGTCTTTGTGGTCAATCCACCTGTGCGTTCATTCGGGGCTAAAATGCATGCTGCTCTGCCTATGTTTTTACAGAATGATGACAACTATGTCAAGAGCTGAAATCCTTGGATGGTTTTGAGTGTCCAACGGCAGGCTTGAGGGGAGAAAATGAAGTTAAAACTCATCTGAGTCATTTTCATTAAGTGAACTAGATCATCTAAATAACCCCACAAGAGCCTTTCCAAATTCTGAAGGGCAAGGGAATTGCTGCATTCTAGTTTAATGGTTATTCCAGTCGGCATATTGGTTTTCAGTGGCCTGCTCCTGATGCAGTAGAGTGGACCCGTGGGCTAATCCCACTCCCAACCCCATTCTGCCTTTTGCGCAAGCTCTTTCACCCTCTGACACCTCCCTCTCTCCTCTGGGTCCCTAGTCCACGCTTCAAGGCCCACTCCCCTTTCCTCCACGTCTCCATCCGCCAGCACTCAGGATCTGTTTAGCTCCATTTGGTCGACAGGAAGCTTGCCCATGCTTGTCACTGCAGAGTGTTTCAGAAACTTCCACCATAGATCCCTGTTCCATTTCCCCAAGACTACAGGGCGGTAGGCGAAAATGCCCCCAGCCATCATCCCGGAAGCCCCACTGGCCACATTTCCCAGGACAGAGCCTCACCTCTGTCCCACCTCTACCAGGCAGTCTTATTCCCACACAGGTGGGTCTTTAAGGCCCACCTGTCTGTGCAGATCACCCAGCCACCTGAGCTGGGGGTGGGTGTCACTCCTTTTCTGAAGTTTTGTGGCAGTTACACTACTGCACAGTGATTTTTATCAGAGTCACATGTGTGCCTAACTTCAGTATCCTCACTAGACTGCAATCTTTCCAAAGGCAAGCTTCCCGGCATGTCTATCCCCCTACGCCCAGAACTTTGGAGAGTGAATGAATGATCCATGAACTAAACATGCTTTTTATACAAAAGACTTCAGGCTACTTTTTTATTGAAAACTACATTATTTTGAAAATTATTGATTAAAAATGTTAAGAACAACATTGGGCATAGAGAGGCGTCCGTGTGCCCTTGGGCAATTCATTTACCCTTTTGGTGCCTCCATTCCCTCCGCGGTAAACCGAGGACAACAATGGCCTCTCCAGCTCATCAGGAGTGTAGGTGGATTTGTGAGTTCAACTGCTACACAGTAAGCACGCAGAAAATATATGCTGGCCTAGATGACAGGGAAGAAATTCTACTTGCCCCTATAGCCACAGAGTTACAGCTACCTTTGGGAATAAGGCTGTCTGGAAGGTACAGTTCTTGGGTAGTTGGGCCGTGTCAGCACCATTGCTAGCAGCTTCTGCCTGGAGAGCAGCGTTATAGCTTCCTGGCTGCAGAGGGCCCATGTTCGCACACAGCCCCTATGACCTGCAAATGTCCCCGTGCAGATCTGTCTAAATGAGTCACCTTCATCTGTGTCTCCACGGCAGTCGAACCTGAGCCTCCAGGGAAGCGCCACCCACCCCAATGTGGTTCTCCACCCCCAGAGGTTCAGGCCTGCCCTCGGCTGGATGCTCCCAACACTCTTCTGAACAAATGAACTTGACTGTGTAATGACTACACCATATCTAGTCTGTCTGTATTTCTCTCCAGTTTGTTTCTGCAAACTGCAAAGTGACCACCCTGATGATTTGGTAAAACTGGGTGTATTTTTAAGGGTAAAATTAGAGAGAGTTGGCCTACAAGGCCCAGGACAATAACTCACTCATCTTAAAATGACACAGAAATATCCTGCAATAGCTTAGCACTCCCCTGCCATACGCACAGCGTGTGAACAGCACTCTGCATAATAATTGCCACTGTCAGACGTCATGTCCTTGTCGGACCCAGCTAACTAACCTCCCAACTGGTCTCCCTGTCCCCATCTCACAACCTCTCCTACCCACCCATGCTTTCCATAGTCAGCCACCCGTGACTTTTAAAAACTCTTAACTAAGGGTTTTTGGGGGAAAAATAATAAAAGAGAGCTGAACTTCAATACCAAAAGCCTTACAGCTGAGAATAACTACCACATCATTAACTACCAGTTCATGAGTTTAAGATCTGATTTTCTAAAATGATTTAAAACCCCAACTAGACAATTCTATTAAAAAAATACATTGATAAAATGGATGACAAATTTGGAGCAAGCAAAGGAAATCTTTGGTATTTGGCATTTTGATAATCATATGCCATCAGTGACCTCTACATGTATCCAATAATAATAACAATCATGCCAAGTGGCATGTGAAAATGAAAAAAGACCACAATGACCACACCTCATAGCTGAGAATAGTATTCAGCGTCTCTGTGCCTCTGTTGGTTTCAAAGTTTCTAGGTCATGTGTTTGAAACTGAAGTGCATTTATCAGTTTTAGGGATGTGACTGTTAGCTCTGGGAATATTTTGTTTTGTGTCTTCATTTTGAAAATCTTTTAAAAACAATGTATTGTCTCTGTGCTGTTTCAAAGCTTATGTTTATGTCTGTGCTTCTAAGCCCAATGATCATCTATATCTATTGCGCCTTTAATATGCTGCTATGCACTTCTGTCCGCCTTGAGAGCACCATGTCCTCAAGACAAAGCCCTACAATCATCCAGTATCTATTGTTATTCATTCATGTTGTTTTCTTTTGCTTTTTAAATGTTTTTTAAACAACGCTTGTTTTGAAATAATTCTCAACTGAGAAGTCTTTCCAAAAAGTTTGATTTCTCAAATTATTTTGTAGAGTTCATGGAATAATGTAAAATATTTCAGAGAGAAAGCATAGGATGGTGGTTAACAGTACAACTCTGGAGCTACAGTGGCTGGGTTCAAATCCTGGTGCTGTCACATATTTGTTGTAGAACCCTGGCTAAGTTAATTAACCTTTCTGTGCCTTAGTTTTCTTAACTGTAAAATGGGTATAGCCTACTTGGGGAAAACATTACTCTTCAGTAAAATTTCTAGTTCTCCTCTATTTTCAGGTACATGTCCCCCTTGAAGTTAGGTGTGGCCATATGAAATGCTTTGGCCAACAAAGTATCACTGGTAGTGATGTGAGTTACTCTCGGGGATAAATACTTAAAAGCTGGTAAACAATTCTCCAGGTTTCTTCCTGAAGAGAAATAATCTTGAAAGCTGAAGTTCATTTTGAGGTGACATAAGATGGAAACAGCCTAGAAAGCTAAGCCTCCACTTAGTCTTGGACAGTCTCTGAGACCCACGAATGACTTCACACACACAAGAAATAAACATTTGTTGAGTTAAGCCACTGAAATTTGGGTGTTGTTTCCACAACAAAAGCTAGCCTGTTCTGGCTGACACATTTCCTCACAGAGTGTTGTGAGGATTAAATGAATTCGTGTACATAAACACTCTAAAAATGCTAACACATAAAAACTATACAAATATTTGCGAAAATTCTCTATTGCATTCATTCTAACATGCATTTTTTTTTCACATTTTCACATCTTTAATTGAGAGTGTTTCATATTTTAACCGGCACCAGTGTCTCTTTCCTAATGGTCCACAAAATCACAAGGCATCTTACTTAGATCCAATGAGATAACATATTAGTATTCTTATTATTTTAGAGGCTAGTGAGTAAAGAAAAGAGGGCTTGAGAAAAAAGTACTGCATTCCCACCTATGGTACAAACAAAGGTTTTGCAATAGTTTGAGTAGAGGAACGTGAGGGAGAACAGTCATTGCTCGAAACACAGCAGTAACACATGCCAAACTCAGCATTAGTCCGTATTTATTTTGGGCGCAGATGTATTATTTGGATTCTCTCTTTGTACACACCAAGTGGTGACGGTTCATTAGTAGTGAATACAGCAGTCAATATTCAAGGAAGGACTTTTGGTAAGTGCTTTTAAAAAAACCATTCAGTATTATACCTTAGAGTGCACTAGTAAATTAATTCACATGTCAAAATAATAATTGGCAGTTACAAACAAATTCATTAGGTCTTTTTCTCAGCAAGACATCAGTCATCACAATCAATTAATACTAATCTGAATATTATTTGTTGTTATAATTTTCTCCACATTAAATTTGGAAATTTGTTTTAGTGATTTAGTTACATGTATAAGAACTAACTATAAAGTTTTTTTCCCAGTTTTCTATTTGTACACATTAATGTAACGGAATAATAAACATAATTAAATCAAAAAAGGATGTCCTTTAAAGGGGGTGCATACATTATTAAACTTTGAGAAACACCGGCTCAAACTACACAAACATGCAGTGGTCTTAGTCTTCCCGACGACACTCCTAAAATATTCTCTGTAAGACAGGAAATCTTCCCAAATGTGCAAACCAGGGAGAACCCGCTGTTGGACAGTCAGCCTGCAAGCTGAGGCTGGAGAGGCCTGTCTGAATCCTCCACTCTCAGTCTCCAGCCTCACCAAAGGCTAGGCTTCCCCTCTTCACAGCTGCTCCTGCGGCTTCCTTGCCAGAGCCAACCTTTCCAGCCAAGGAAGGTGGCTGGACTAGCGGGAACGAGAGAACAAGCTTGACAGGAGGTCCTGGGAAACCCAAGGAGGGAATGAGCCTTTTCACACATGCCTCCCCTGAGCGGTGGAGGCCCAGTGTGGGAACACAGCCTCCATCTGCTACTGTTGCTGCCCGGGAACCACAGTCATCGTGGGCTTGTGAACGAACAAGCTCCTGTCGGGGCTGCCTGTGCTGCCAGGGCCCGATCGTCGCAGCCACCGAACATCTGGGCCCCAGACCCACAGCATCTGTGTTGCTTTCTCACTGACACCAGCATCTCCCTTGACCAAACCACGCCACACACAAACCAGATTCCACTTACGAACGCTGTGCTTGGCTGCTTTTATAACTAAGAGCAAGAAAACACTTGTTCTTTCTGCATCTTGATTGGCATTTGGACCTCGACTGAATTATTTAATGAATTAATTAATGATTTGGAAACCCTGATTAGCAGCAGAGTCATGCTGGCTTCTTGGGGAAAATATATTATTCAAGGTGAAGAACTGAAAAATCATTCACATTTGATTATCTGGCTCCATGAACCAACACATAAGCTAAAAACAAACACACACAAACACCACCACCCCTAGACAAAGAGATTTTGGGAATTGTCTCATCTTTTCCAAAACTTACAAATATGTTGATGTTACGGTGCTGGACTTGACCTTAGAGTCTTCTGGTTCTATCCCCTAGTTTTACAGATGAAGGAACTGAAACCCAGGGTGAAAGAATAACTTTTCCAATGCAACATAGTTAACAAGCAGCAAAACTAGGCTAAAACCAGCTCTCCTGACTGCAGACCAGGGATCTTTCCTAACTTAAAGAAAATATAACAGACCATTTCTTCTAGTTCCCCTCTCACCATCCAGCGGCTCTCAAGCATGGCACCTGCATATGATAAATAAGCCACCACATGTAGCCCCAGATTTGGGTCATTCGACTCAACTGAGCAAACCCACTGTTTGGCAGCATCAGTCAGATGGAGCTGAACTGAGTAGCCAGGGGCCCAGGAAACAAGGGCACAACTCGAGGCACTGGTCAGGCCCCTCGACAAAGAACAATAGTGGGCTTGTTGCAACATGACTTGTGAAGATGCAGGGATGGGGTCAGTTGCCATGGTCTGAATTATGTCCCCTGAAAGTCATCTAGAAGACTCCACCCGTAGCACCCATGAATGTGACCTTACTTGAAAACAGGGTCTTTGCAGATACAACCCCATTAAGATGAGATGACTAGGGTGGGCCGTAATCTAATATGATTGGCGTCCTTCTACAAAGAGGAAGACAGACATGGGGACAGATGTACTCAGAGGGGAGACGTGAAGACACACAGGGAAAAGCCGGGTGAGGACAGGGGCAGAGACGGAATGATGCACCCACAAGCTGAGAAGCTCCAAGCTGGAAACCACCAGAAGCTGGAAGAGACAATGAAGGATCCTCCTGACAGGTTTCAGAGGGAGCACTGCCCCACCCACAACTTGAGCTTGGACTTCTGGCCTCCACAGCTTCTGTTGTTTTAAGCCACTCATTTTTTGGTACTTTGTTATGGCAACTCTAGGAAATGAATACAGGTGGTCAACAGTTTTACTAAAACAGTACAAGGCTCACTTGTTGAGTGGTGATTTTAGACTTTTAAACTCTTGAAGGGCACCACCAAAAATTTCTGGAATCTGAAAGTATCCTGCAAACATGAAATAAGAGAGAACAGCTACCCAGACGCTCTCATTTCCCCTGCACGCCTACATTCCTTCTAATCACTATTTACACCCTCTCCAGATCCCACCCCTGCTTCTCTGCCTCCACCGCAAAACAGAAGCCTCTCCCAGCCATCACCCACAGGAGGCAGGGCTGAAGGCAGGGGATGGTAATGCTGACTGTGACCTGGCCCCATGGCCTCTTCATGTTACAACCACACACAGGCCTCTCAGTCAGATATTCATTCAGCAAGTAAGTACTGAGCACCTACCACGTGGTGGACATGGCTCCAGCCTGGGGACACTGTGGGGGGCAACAGACCAGACGGCTGTCCCAGGGAGCGTCCATCAGAGATTAAACAGATAGATGACTGATTGACAGATGCGCAGATAGGTGACAGATGGTATAACAGACAGATGATAGGTGACAGAGAAAAATGACAGATGACATGTGACAGATGATTGACAGATAAATGATAGACATGTACAGAGATGATAAATAGATGATACATAGACAACAGATGATTGACAGATAAATGATAGGCAAAAAAAGAAGATTTCAGGTAGTAATCAATGTCAGACAGAAAGAATAGAGTGAGGTGATGGTGGCCAATCACGGGGTTATTTCGTGGTGTCTGGTCAGGGCAGTCACAGAGGAGGGGACCCTCTACCTGGCCTCCGGATGAAACACCAGTTCCTGCATCCTGACAGAGGGTGTGACCAGAACCAGGACCCTCAGGAGTGAGAGCATATCTGGTGACAGAGACACCCCCAGCAGGTCCCAGCCCGCCCACTTCCATCACAGGGTTGTCTGCACTGCCTCTTGGAAGCCAGACGTGGCCACGTGACTCACTCTAAGCAATGAACCCTAATGGTGCCCACTTCCCCTTCCGCCTTCTGCCAAGGGCCCAAGGCCCAGGTGCAGCCAAAGCCTGGGCAGCCCCAGCAGGGCCTGTCATGGGCACAGCCTCTGGACCGCCCACACTGCACCTGGAGTTAGGAGACCTGTGCTCTGGTCCCAGCAAAAATACATTTTTGTTTTAAACTGTGAAGGTTTGGAGGTTATTTGTCAGCACAGCACAGCCTGACCCTCCATCTCCAAAGGTAGGTTTGGGGCAGGAGGGTGGGGAGCCTGGACGGGGCTGCCCAGGGCTAGGGTGTGGGGGCAGGGGCTAAGGGAAGGGGCTTCTCTTAAGTCTATGTGAAGCCAGTGGGAGGTTTCCACAGGGAACTGGTCCACAATGGAGAGGAGGCAACAAGCAGGAGGGCAGGCCTCACACAGCAGGGGTCTAAGAGCAGGACCCCCAGGACCATGACCTCTAGGATGCACCATTCACCAGCTCTGTGACCTGGAGCAGGTCACTTCTGTGCCAGGTTTCATTCACCCTTTTTTTTTTTTTTTGAGACGGAGTCTCTCTGTGTCGCCCAGCCTGGAGTGCAATGGCGCAATCTCAGCTCACTGCAACCTCTACCTCCCGAGCTCAAGTGATCTTCCTGTCTCAGCCTCCCAAGTAGCTGGGATTACAGGTGTGCACCACCACACCCGGCTAATTTTTATATTTTTCTAGTAGAGACAGGTTTTTTAGTATTTTTTTTTAGTAGAGACAGTTTCACCATGTTGGCCAGGCTGGTCTCGGACTCCTGACCTTAAGTGATCCACCCACCTTGGCCTCCCACAATGCTGGGATTACAAGCGTGAGCCACTGCGCCTGGCCTCATTCACCTTTATAAACAAGGATAACAAAATGACCACTGGCACGGTGCTACGTGAGGATGAGAGGCGCCAGTTCACATGAAGGGCCTGGAAGAGCACCAAGCACCTGGTCAGCACTCAAGAGGAGCTGAGGAATCACTGCCATTCCTGCTGCTAGAGACCAGTGACCCATTCCCCAACAAATGCCAGAGCTGGCTCTTAGGGGCCCCTCGCTCATTCCTGCAGCCTAAGTCTGAGCTCCGCTTCAGCACCTTCCAGGGCAGCAGCAGAAAAGGGGACTCCACCTTTTCTAAAAGTCAGAAGTCAATTTAGGAGAGTCCTGGAAGCCACTGGAGCTGCTGACTAGGTGCCCAATTCTGAGCACATGTGGGTGACCATGCTTGAAGGGACAGGTGGGGGGTCGGGAGACAGAGGCACCACGTTAGTAAACAGCTGGAAGATCTTTGTGCTTTTTGGAGACACACACTCAGTGGCAGGAGCCTTGGTTTCCTTCTTCATTTATCAGTTTTGCCCTGAGGGAGAGACAAGGCAGAGACTAGGAGGTGAGAACAATGAATGACAAATGCAAATTTACAATGGATAAAATATAATTAGAGTTAATTCAATCTTTCACTAAAGAGATCAAAAACTGAAGGAATGGTGCCTGAAAGTGCTTCCGACGTCAAGCTATCCTGAAGCACCAAATTCTCAACTGTTGCCGTATCTTTCTGTCCCAGCAAAGACCTTAACTCCAAAAAAGGCTCAAGTCTACCAAGAAGGCACCCAAACCTTCTGCACTCGATAAATGCAGAAGGTTTGGGTGAGGGCAGCAAAAACAGTGATTGCCTAATAACAAAGTGACCAAGGGTCCCTCACGCCAATATTGTAGCACTCTTTTTTTTTTTCTGTAATTGTGAATCTTCTTGGTAAAGTAAACATATACTAAATTGAAGACCACTGTGCACTGGCTTTTAATCTGTTTTAACTTTCACAGCATCATTAGAAATCACTTTGACGCAGTTCAGGATGCCCATAAGATCACAGCCACCGCTGGGCCTGTCCACATGGCAAGCTTAGTAACCAAGGAAAAGTTTGCAAAGCAAAACCTATAAAGTGACAACAAACACCATGTTGACTTTCAGCAAACGCTAACTCCACACATAGATGCTCCCTATAAACGCATAGTTTTATGGACCTTAAATGTCTCTGATGGTTCTGTAAATGCTACGCTTAGCGAGTGACAGAATTCATGAAGGAAGAGGGGGCTGGCCTTGCTGGGTGTCCACCATGCCCTCTCCTGAGTCTCCTGGGGCCCCAGAGTCACTGCGGCCCAGGGGCATGTTCAGGTAAGTTAGAGAGAGGGGTGCCCTGGCAGGTGGGGAGGGAGAGGCTGTAATCCAGGGCTCCTGGCTTCATTGGTTTGGGCAGCTCTAACAGAACACCTTAGACCCGGCGGCTTATTCCTCACACTCTGGAGGCTGGGAAGTCCAAGATCAAGGTGCCAGGCGATCCTGTGTCTGGGGAGGGCTCCCTGATTCACAGCCTGTGCCTTCCGGTTATGTCCTCATGTGGTGGAAGGAGCGAGGGAGCTCTCCGGGCCTCCATTTCGAGGGCAGGAATCCCATTCACAAGGGCTTCACATTATGACGTCATCGCCTCCCAAGGGCCCCACCTCCTAAGACCATCCCCTTGGGACTTTTGAGTGACACAAACATTCGAACCATTTGGCCCCTGATGAAATTCCTAACCTCCCCTTGTTAGAGTCAGTCTCCTCCCGGCTCTCCACTGCCACTGTCTCTGGCTGCCACCTTGGTCCTAAAGCAGCCTGGCCCTACTGGCTCGCTGCTCTCATTCTCTGGAGCCAGACTTCTGATTCCCATGCATTTGACCTCTGGCCTCCTCAGCCCACACCACCTCAACTCTTGAGCATGGAGCCCAGGAGGAGGTCCCTCCGGGGACAAGGTCACCACCCCTCTGCGCCTCCCTCTAAGGTGCCCCCAACTGTCTCTGCCTCCATGGTCGCTGCTCCCTCCCACCCATCCACATCATCCTGAGAGGCTGTAATCAACCTCCCCTCCCCGCTGTCCCCCCGACATTCCCCTCTGCCCTCCCATCCCCACATCAGTGTCTTAATTCCTTTCCCCGTACTCCTCCATTATACCCTAAATATGGGCTTCTCTATCTGAGAAGTGGGGTCAGCCCGAGGCCAAGCTGAGAACCTGCCCCAGCCTCCCTGCAGGCCTGGCCTGGGACCCTCCTGTGGAGGAGCTGGGTGCCCAGGGAGACCCTCGCAGGCAGCCAGACAGCCTGAAGAGAACAGGGTGAGGGGCAGCGTGGAGGGAGAAGAAGGGAGGGAAGTGGGAGGTAAGGGGGACTAAGAGATGGGAAAGGAGGGGAAAGGAAAGGGGAGCAATGTGGAAAGACAGGGAGCACCTTCTTTAACATTCAGGTCACTCTGGGATAACCTAAGTCACTCTACAGCCTCACCAAAGAGATGGGGGTGAGTGGAGAATGAGGAGGAGAGGGTTGGGGGCGAGGAGAGGGTGGGTGAGGGAGAGGAGAAGGTGGGGGTAGGGAGGAGAGGGTGGGGGGCAGGAGAAGAGGGTGGGGTGGGGAGGAGAGGGTAGGGAATGGGAAGGAGTGGGGGGAGGGGAGGAGTTGGGGGGAGGAGGGGAGACGGTAGGGGGACTGAAAATGGACATGTCCACTTTCCAGGCACCCTCTCCTGCGTGGGAGGAGCCCACAGAAACCTGAGGCTGGAGGGATTCCCTGGTGGGAAAGGCACGCAGGGCTTCGGGGAGACTTGCTGAAGTCTCCAGGGGAAGCCCTGAGCCAGAGCTGGGGTCAGGACTCGCTGGAGCCAGCACCAGGTGACCATGGCCCTGGACAGTGTGTGGAGGGGAGGAACAGAGAGGTGGAGCTTGCGCTTGACTGTGCCTGGCTCCCTGCAGGCCCCCAGGTTCCCCTTTCCAACCCCAGCCATGCCACCGTGGCCAAGATGGAGCAGCCAGAGCCGGGCAGACCAGGAAAACACTGGCATTTTTATCTGTCCAAAATTCAGTTTTTAACACCAAATAGCTGTAGGCCCTGCAAGAAAGAGATGAGGAAGGGGGTCGGGGGGCCTATAAGCTGAAAAATACCGAACAAGCCTCTCCTGCTATTTGTCCTCCTGAATAAAAAAGCAAAAAAGTGGCTTTTCCTCTCCTGGTCCACACCCAGCATGCATTGCTCTGCCTGTGCCTCTCACGCTCACGCTGTCCCAGTTCTGCGTTTATCCTCATGCTGGTGGGTGTCCTCCACCAGAGGGTAGGCTCCTGCAGGCAAAGGGTCTGATTCATTGCTTCCTGCACAATATTTCAGCTCCGTGTACAGTAAGAGCTCAGAGAGCAACTGAATTTGGGTGGCTGGAAAACCGAGTGGTCAGGCCACTGCCAGCCTCATTTTCCCCCAGAAGCAGACCCCGGGAGGCTTTCACCCACAGCCACCCTCAGAGCAGCCAGCCCACTCCCGGAAGAGCTGGACGCTGGATCAGCACGCTCCCCTCCAACACTCCCTGGGGAACAGAGGCCAACACATGGGCTGGAGCACCGTGCTGTGATGCCACAATTCAAGGGCCTATCTTTGTACGCAGCTGAAAAGAGGAAATTCAGCGCCAGCGTAGCTTCTCAGCGGCAGCTCACCCCAAGCTGCCAAGGAGGATGTGGGCAGGCAGTGGGCAGCTGTGTTTCGGGAGGCCTGCAACGCTCCACTTCCCTAGCGCGCTCACATGGGATCCCTGGGTTTCCAGACTCATAATGTGCACGGAGGGACGGCTGGCTGAGAAGTTTTGAAATCCATCCCTCGTCGATGGGGTCTTATGCCAGTTCTACTTAATACTTTGTTTTTCTAATTCTAAGCATCAGTTCTCTGCCAGAAAATGAGTTGCGTTTGCTTCAAAAACACTACAAAACGCAGAACTGGCAAGTATAAATGGCTCTAAATTTAATAAATATTGATCACCCAACCAATGTGCAATATTTTTCTTCCCACCCTTTCAAACCCTTCCTTGAGCTTGAAGTCAAAGTTTAGCTGGAGGACCAGCCTCCCACGCCTGTTCTGGCCTTCGTTCCCAAGTTCAGCCTGGACAGTTAATTGACAACAGGTGCGCCACCCATGGTCCTGGCAGGGCTGACCCGGGCTAGAAGCCTCCAGTGCCCCCAGTGGCAGCCCTTCTGCAGGATTTGTGTCCCAACCCAGTTTATTTGGCAAACAACAGTCTTGATGTGGGTGGAGATGGGAAAAACATCTGCCTTCCTCATCTGGCTTTCAAAATACAGCGTTGCCTAAAAGACTGGAAGGGAGGACAGAGAGTTCTAACTGGCTGGAAACTCCTGCCCAAACAGATGACTTGGAAAGCTGATTTCATTCTGGGGGATGGGTGTGGAGTGTTCTAGACCCGCCCAGCAGGTTACAACCTTTTTCTTCATTCCTTCCTTTCCAGAATTGGTTATGGCTATTTTTTCTTTTTTACCCTGAGCATCCACACCGTATCAAACACCATCCAAGTACACATATTTTGTGTGCAGTAGGTTGATAGTTTCTAAAAGAACACACAAAAGCATCTGAGCCAGACTTAAGTATCGCCAAGAAGGAAAAGGCAAAAGGGACCCTATACTTCTGTGACCTGTCAGTGAAGACTTTAAGAACTGAAAAGGACCTTGTTTCCTCCATCACGTGCTGCCCCCTTGCAAACAAGACTGGTGGCATATTTTGTTCATCAGACCATTCTCGATTCTGGACCTCCCCACAGATGCTCCGTTGCTCTGCAGTATCACCCAGTATCCAACATCGGGTGGCCACAAGCACAGCAGAGAGCTGGTATCATGAAGGGCTCTGATCTCTATAAGTTTTCATTTTTAGAAACAGGCACTTACATTCTACAAGAAGTAATGAAATGTTGGCAAGTAGCAATTGTAGGCATGGATGCAGGGGTTAAATAAAACTTTCCCTTAACCGACTGCTGGAATGGATTAGAGAAATCCTTCAAGACATAAACTGTGTGAAAGAGAAGACAGATTGCCTTTCTTCGGCTGACTGAAACTTAAATATTAAAAATTAGGCTTCTATGAAAGCAGGAAATGGAATAGGAAGTCCAAAAAGTAACCAGGAGTGGAGAGATGAGGAAGTAAGTAAAAATCATGAAGCACCTCCTTGGCTACACCCAGGACCCCGGGGCTTCACTGCAATCTCCTCTCTTTCCAGAGGTTTCTAATCTCCAGTGCTCCTCCATATCGATGCAGAGCAGGACGCCTGTGAGTGACACGAGGTGCTTGTCAAACACACAAGCTCTTGGGCTGAGAGTCTGCAGCTACAGGCCTGAGTGCAGCCAAGGATTTTGCCTGTTGATTTCCAGATGACCCAGATCCACACTTGGGTTTAGACTAGTCTCCAAAACCTAGTCTTGCTGACTTTCTTCCCATATCTATGAGCACGAATGTTGGGCCGTTACATAAGCAGCATTGGAAAATCATTACAAAATTCAAGAAAAAAAATCTGAGCTATTTAAGTACAAGGTTTACTATGAGCATTATTTTGGCTTCATTTTACGTGCCATGCTAGTTTATGAACATTCTATAAGATTTTAGGAAGACATTTTATATTCATAATCAAATATTGAAAGGAGAGGGCCCTTATAGCTAATCTGGCTCAAAATCAGCTTTCTGAGAGGATAAGGATGCTCAGGAACCACTGATTTAGGCTGGTCTACAAAATGCTGCTAAGTGTCAACAGCCTGTTGAAAGTGGCATCGCCCTTCCCTAACCTCTAGTGTCTGTTTGTGGGTGTGCTGAGGAGCTAGGAAGTGCCCATAGCCTTCAGGGAGTATCTAGTGTGGTGGCGAATGGGCAGCCCTTTAAAGCCTGTGCTTCGTGCCCAGCAAAGAGCATTCCCATCAACTCTGTTATTTCAACAGGACTGGGTCCTGGGACCTGGCAAGGAGAACCAGTGGCCCTGGACTCTAGGTTCTGCCCTGGGCTGCCCAGATCCAGCCAGGAAGAGCCCAGGGTTGGCAGGGGATGAGACGTGGGGGCTCCATTGACTGAGCTGCCTAAGTACACGCTGCTGCCTTCCATCCTGCACCCCTTCCCTGCTTGGCCACAGTCAGAGCCAAACTGGAATGAACTGCACTGAAGAGAGAAGTGGCTGCCTCCCCTCCCTCCCTGGGCCACAGCCCTGGCTTCCTCTCCTACAGGAAGGGAGGTAAAGCCGCTCCTTATGAAGGATGTGGACTCAGGAGGGGCCACACACAAAGGGGAGCCTGTCACATGGGGGGAGCAAGTCAGGATGTTACTAACAATCAAAAGCTTCCTTCAAAGGTTCCTGTTTAATTAAAAATTTCAAAGCGTAGGACTTCCAACCTGCTGGTCTCCCCAGGACACCCTGAGGGTCTCAGGGGAGGGTGCACTCAGACAGATGGTGCCTCCCCACCCTATCAGCCACCCCGGCCTCTCTCCTCAGTATCTCCAATATAGGGTTACCTCTTAGGTGGTCCTAGAGAACATTTTATTCTAGTGGTCACCTGGCTGAATGCACAGACGTCCCCTGGGACATCTTGCTGGCGCAGAGAGGGGGGCCTGAGGATACCATCACGGGCAGGCACCGTTCCCAGGACAGGGAGAGAGGAAGCAGATTCGTGCCCTTTCTTCATGGTGGGCTCATCACTGAACAGAAAGGAAATCACTGTCAGTCACTCCAGCTGCCAACCTGGGTCTCCCTTCTGCTGCTGCTGGGTAGCAGGCAGTTTTGGTGACCCCAGGTCATGCACCCAGGGGGATTTATTGCCAAGGTTCCTGGAGGACATCTGCCCCCACTGTTCCCTTTGGAGCGTCTCAGTAAGAGAACCCGTAATGTCTAAAAATAGTGCATGTCAAACTTCATAAGGTTCTAGAAAGAGGCCTAAGTATAGTTATCCACTAATAAATTAAGCCGATTTTGAGAAAGATTAGCTATAGGGGGCCTTCTCAAGATTTGATTACGAAGATAAAGTGCTGTATTAAAATATTACAGACTATTTGTAAAGCAGTATGGCACATAAAATGAATCTCAAAATAATAGTAAACATTTAAATAGCATGGATCTTTTTGCCTTGTATTTTATAATCATTTTTCAATCCTTATTATACTAAAAGCCCAGGATTCTCATTTTGTGGATATGGGGAAAAAAAAAAAAAAGCAAGTCTAAGCAAATAACAAGAAATCTGGTTTCACAACTCCTAGCCCAGTTAAGTTCTCGGGACAGAATGAGGTCCAACGTGGTCAACAAACATGACATCATGCCACCCACGAGCTGGACACGCGACACCTGGGGCTCCAGCTGGCCATGCAAAAGGGTGAGGTCTCCATCCCTCCTTCCGTGACAAAAGTAAGCTCTCCTTTCTGAAGAGCCCTCAAGCCAGAGACTGAACCCCCAAATAAAAATACAACAGAGGTCAGCTCTGAGAAACCAAAATGACTCATCACCTCACCTCCTGTCCTAAGTCCCTGGCTTCTCACACTCTCCCCTCTTGACTGTGTTTCGAGGCAAGGAAAATACCTATCATTGCCAATTATGGAACCTGTTACCAATGAAGGCCACCTTGGCTGCAAACTTATCTTTGATATGGGACATTCTCCATTGCTTGTGGTGGAGAGAACAGACCCTTTTCCCTTCTATGGTAATATGCCCCAATGGAGGTTTTCCACCACGTGAATAATCTAGACGACAGGTTTTCTGTGTAGCATCTTATGCCAATCTACGTCCCTCGTGCACAGCTTTGGAGAAGGGTCCATAGCTCTGTCTAGAGGCCCGTCCACCCTGAGCCCAGAACATCTCCATCCCTCAGGCGGCCGCCTGCAGCAGTGCAGCTGGAGGAAGTAAGTATTTTAGAGCATGTTTTCATACCTTGCTACTAGAGAAGTGGCAAAGCACTCTTGTTTTTGAGAAGTGATAACCTCTTAGAGATGAAAAAGGAAAAAGCTAAGGGGAAGCACTGAGCTGGGGAAACTCTTACAAATCAAGAATCTTATAGCAGAAGAGTTTTGCTTCTTTTGGAAACTGAATCAGTGTCACTAGTGGAATTACACCCCCGTGGGGGATGGGGGGGCACTGTTGTCTGGCAAACAGTGCAAGTCATTTGTCACACCTAAACACGACTAGGTTACCCTCAGCTACACCGTGTCTCCCACCGTGTGACCTGTGATTTCTTCCTGCTCTCCTTTCCATCTGTGTCCATAAAGACTTGGAGTGAGATCCGGTTTGCTTTTCTGCCTCCTCTGTCCTATTTGCCAGAGAAAACATTCTGGAATTCCTCCCAGGAACCTTCCCCCAGTGGTTTCTGTCCAGCCATCCGCATTCTGTCCTTTGGGGAAATATTTCTCCTACCATTCTGCACCAGCAGGTGTGCTAACGTAAGCCTGTGCACGAGCACCACTTTGCCTGAAGATCACATCTGTCACAGGAGTGTCTGTTCTGTGGACAACACTGAGGAACGCCTCTCTTTCCTCATGCCAAGCCACTAGCCCTCCACAGACACTTTCTAAAAACTGCCACCCACATCACAAATGGCTGCTTTTACTTCTCTCTCTACTCTCCCAGCTCGTTTTAAATGCTCCAGCTTAAATTTATCACATGTCCTCACTGGAGTTTACGGATAGCTTCTAATGTACCCTAATTCTAGAGTTATGGGAGAGAGGAGCAAATAAAGTACAGGATGTGGCTAAACCAATTTGTAAAAGGAAAGGAAAAAAATGCAACCCAGGCAGAAAACAACGGCATTCTTTTCCTATTAAATGTAAAGCAAATATTAAACTCCTGCAAGGATTTTAGAATTTATATCCATACCCATGCATTTATATCCTAATTGCTCATCACTATGGGAACCAGGTATTT